>NC_000010.11:8949393-9100909 GCF_000001405.40 Homo sapiens
TTTTTGTTCATGTTGGTTGTTCTGTCAATTAATGCTACTGAAGTGTAAGAATCTAACAGGGTGTGGAGTATTTACAATTCTTACCCTACCGAAGTCTCCAAGATGTCCTGAAATAAAAAGCATGCTAATTGTAATGACACTATTGCTTATTCAAGTTATTTGACTATATTTTACTATGTAACCTTTTCCAAATAAAATCCTAATGGATACATAATCCTATCTAGAAAGAAAAATTACATCAAAGAAGATGTGTTCAGAAATATTGACCTAATGCACCATAGACTGTAGAATAAATGAAATAAGACTGCTTAAGCTAACTAGAAGATAAAATGATGAACAACATTTGGATCATTCCAAAAAGTGCATTTTCTTTTTTCATTTTAGAAATCAAAGGTGAGTCCTATTACGTGGGCAGTACATTATTATTTTATATCAATAATCCCTATGATTAAACTAGAGATCAGAAATTTAAGCATTAGCTATCACGCATGTATTTTTCTCACTTATAAAGTATCCTTTTTTTTTGCAATTGATTCATACAAAAAGGAATTACTTTTAAGGATTGTTCTTGATGAATGCTACTGAAATTGTAAAAGTAGTCTTTTGTTATTTTTGAGCTATAATGTATTACCCATGAGCTCTGAAGCTCTGTCGTTTTGTCTTATTGATTATTTGCTGTTCTTTCTAACTAAGGACATTGCTTCTGTACTTCCTTCACAAACTCAAAAGAGCATTTGGTGACATTATAAAATATATCCAGCTATTGGATTTTTATAATAGTTAATCTTCAAGGAAAGCATGGGAACTAAAATGTCAATCAGCAAGAAATTTTAAAAACATTTCAAAAGACTTGTTCTTTTTTTTAAACTTCATCATGATACAAAAGGCCATAATCCTCTGAGAATCCATTTTTCTGCCACAATAAAAGAAACAACAATGATGATAAACTTATTTTTTAACCCAAGTTAAAACTGACTATAGAGAATTGCAATATGAAGACGATAAATATTCATTACACAATTGAGTGAAAACTAGCCATAAATTCACTGGCATCATAAACTTGGACAAGGTCAAAGTTATCATTTTGTAGACTGGATAGTTTTAGCACTGATGTGTCCTGATGATAGTTTTTATTTTTTAAAAAATTTTTATGTTACTTATTTTTTGAAACTAATTAACTAATTTCAATAGTTTTTGGGGAACAGGTGGTTTTTGGTTACATGGATAGGTTCTTTAGGGGTAATTACTGAGGTTTTGGGGCACCCATCATCTGAGCAGTGTACACTGTACCCATGTGTAGTCTTTTACTCCTCACCCCCTCTGTCACACAGGAGTGCAGTGGTGTGATCTCAGCCCACTGCAGCCTCAACCTCTCAGACTCAAGTGATTCTCCACCTGAGCCTTCCGAGTAGCTGGGACTATAAGCATGCACCACCAAGCCTGCATAAGTTTGTTCATTTTTTGTAGAGACGAAGTCTTACTATGTTGCCCAGGCTGGTCTTGAACTCCTGGATTCAAGCACTCCTCCCGCCTTGGCCTCCCAAAAAGCTGAGATTATAGGCATGAGCCACTGCACCCAGCCTGATGACTGTTTAACTTCACTTTCCATACTTTCTTCTCTGTAGCTAGCTTGGTTCTTGCCACTTTTGGCAGTCACAAATTTTCACATCAGTATCTTCATCTTTGAGTATTGCAATGTCATTCATAGCACCACACAAACTAGACCAATTCTCTCCATATTCTACGGTAGTTTCTATTTTTCCTTTCAGTTTTTTAATTCAAGTTATGTCACCTACATGCTATTATATTGTTCTGCCTGGTTAGTAACCGAATGCTTCAGAATTTCCATTTTGCTCAGTGGGCTTTCTCTCTGTGTCATGAAAGAGTTAGGGTTTCCTTTGATATGCAGGCTTAGAAATAATTTATCTACTCTTTATCCCAACAAAAACATTTGGTCTTTTATTAAATGCAATAATAATATTTAACTAATTTAATGACTATTTGTTTTGATCCCTTAATAATTTAGTCTGCATCAATATTTGGCTGGAGTTTAAGTTGCCAGGAGGTAAAGGCTATTTTGGTTTAATTGCTTTTATAAAAGCTTCATGTAATGCCATATCCTGTTAGGTGTTTCATAAAGATGTTTCATGATTGCATGCACTTAACATCAGATACCGGTTAGGTGCTTTAAAATAGTAGCTAAATACTTTTACGTATGCAAATATTGAGGGGTTGGAAAAACACCATCTTTATTCTCAGAGTCTACCAATTAAGATTTATTGATCATAAAATATTTATACAGTCGTAGGTTAAGATGCTATCTTAATAGTCATAAAGTCTGGTTAGTAACATGGAAACTGTTTATGATCTAATAAAAGTAGCCACTCTTCATTGAGTACATACTGTACAGCAGGAACTTTATATAAATCACCTCAAAGTTTCTCAACCAAACCTCGAGGTATGTATTTTGTCGTCCTCAGTGTACAGATGAGGAAGTAGAAGTTCACACAGCTTAGGGAGCTTTTCCACTGTTACTTAACTAATAGACGGTATTGAAGATTGAAACTAGGGCCTTTGACTTTCAAGTTCAAGAGTTTTGACTTCACTAGCCAATATTAACACAATTGAAAGAATTGGAATGCGAAGTTTGCATGTGAAATGATGCATGGTTTATAATACAAGGTACAACTAAGAAAGTAAAGACTCGATATGGCAGTGAGTGGAATTATCAGGAATTTGCTCTCTTTTTCAAAATTTTCTTAATTGTTTTTGCAAGAATTAACAATGGAAAAAAGAAAGGAAAAGTAAAAAAGAGCTGGAACAAGTTCAACATTGAGGCACTCATTTCTTTTACATGAAAGGACTTGGATTAATTGGATGAACTTTGTATAATTTAATTTTTCTTAGGGGAAGCATATAAAGACCTGCTCAGGACTAAGTAGGCATGGTTGTTAAAGGAAGTGAACGTCTCGATGACAACCTAAAAAAGAAACTGATAAGAAATAAGATGAGCCTCAAAAGACTGGTATTATTATGTTTTTAATAATGAAGGCATTAGCACTGCAATTGTTAGAATTTTATCTGTTCTATCGTGAAATAAGGATCTAGATAGTATGCAGTAATTAAAGATTGACTTTGATTTAGATAATCCATTTTAATTGCATTTTTAATTGTAGTGAAAATTTCATGAAGAACCATCTAAAAATGCTGATGCAGAAGGGTAGCTAATCAAGATCACGCCGTTATATTTGAATTACTAGAAAGGGACCATGAGTGGTTAAGTGTAAAATACATCTCTCAAGTAACACACAAGTCCCTGTAATCTCATCTCACCTTCTGGGAACAATGTATAACAAATTAAAGCTGGTTCATGAAATGTCATACAATCTGGCAGCAAGATTCTAATTGATGAAGAAATGGCTATTTTAATGATTCTTTAACAACCATAGAAAATTTCCAATTACTGGGAACCGTGACAAAAACTACCTTAAGGGGACAAAATAATTTCTAACAGTTTTTTCAACCAACTCAGAGGCCCCAGTGGATGTTTTCAGACCTGTTCTCTCTTGTTTTATTAGTTTGGTTGAATGGATGGGCAGCTGATTTCTACTGTGAATGTTTAAAAAATTATGTACAAAATTAGAAAACAAAACTTGCAGTTTCCAGATTTGCCTACGATCGCATTTCCCATAAACTCAGCAATTGATGTTACTCTTGAAATGAATTTTGACGTGTGAATTTGGGTTCAACTGGTGCCTCTGCCCTCCGTTTTGGCCTCTGCATGCCAATTCCCATTGCAGCATGTATCACATTGTACTTTTGGAACAGAAATTTATGTTTGATCTTCCCCGGTAGGCCATGGGGCACCGTGTGTGTTCAATACATAGTTTGATATTGAATAGATTATGACTTTCCTTTTTATTAAAATTATGGATGTTGTAATATATGTTGATCTTGTAATATCTCTATGTCCTTCCCACAAATGTGTACACACACATGCATAGACACAATTTTATTGTATCTATCTGTCTATCTATCTATCTATCTATCTATCATCTTCATTCTGAATATTCCAGACATTTCAGGGTGTATCTGTAACCTACCTATGAGTCTGGTTTTATGTCTAATCTATATAAAATAAAGGAATTAATTCTATTTCAGGCCTTGTATTTACAATTTAATTCCTCCAGAATAATGACAGTAATAAAGTCAAGGTTTTGGTAAAATAAGAATTGCTATTAAGTAAGTTTTGAAGGTTCCTAGAAAGAAAGAATAAAGCACTTGGAAAGAAGAATTCAATAGAAAAATAAAAAAGAATTATAATTCAGATAAAATTTGACAAATGTCATTGGTTTGTCCTATATTCTGATTCTGGTGAAGTTAAAACCGTATTATGAATCTATTTCCCATATCATGTTTCCTTCCAAAATAGATTACTGAAAATAGAAGCAAGCATAATGAACCTGAAAATTCTGGTTTACAGGAAAAAAACCCATAATAATTAATATGTTTCAGAATTTATTTTCTCAGCATCTACATTTGTTTCTCATCACATGTACACTAGCATAAATGAAGATTAAGAAATAAGTCTTTCCAGATTATTTTTACTCAAGAATTTGTTTCAGTGCTAGGCAAGGATGATCAATTTTAGTTTGCATATGAAGACTCAAAGGGAGATGATTAAAAGCACGTAACTCTTTGACTCATCCCTAGAAGGTCTTTGATGAGGCCCAGCAATCTGGAAAATTATGATATAATATTACACAATGATTATTTAACAATATTTTAGAAGTAACTGCCATTTGGGGGTCACAGAACAATACTAATCTCAATTATGTTACCCATCAACAAATTGAATATAATTAAATTATTTTCAAAATATATGGGTTGAGATTATTTTCCAATTAAAATTGCCAGGTGAGGAACAGCACTTTTCCATTCGCTGCTGAATGTGATGAAATACTGGATAGTCATAGAGGGTCTACCAGATGTCCCTTTGGGAGAGTGTTGTGGGGAAATGGGCTGTTTGTGTGCACCCAAACTAGCCCTTTAAGAAGCTGTGTGCTGGAGGCCATTAGAAAATAATTTGTGCTGTTCTTATAAATATGAAGAACTTTGGAAATACCTCTGTGACATCGGATGCAGTTTGTGTTTGGGAAGTATCACTGATAAGAAATAATACTAAAAATTAACAACCCCATTGAAAAGTGGGCAAAGGACATGAACAGACACTTTTCAAAAGAAAAAATTCATGCAGCCAACAAATATATGACAAACAGCTCAACATCACTGATCATTAAAGAAATGCAAATCAAAACCACAATGAGATACCATCTCACTCCAGTCAGAACCACCATTACTAAAAAGTTAAGAAACAGGGTCCGGCACGGTGGCTCATGCCTGTAATCCTAGCACTTTGGGAGGCCAAGGCAGGTGGATCACCTGAGGTCAGGAGTTCGAGACCAGCCCTGCCAACATGGCGAAACCCCATCTCTAGTAAAAATACAAAAATTAGCTGGGCATGGTGGTGGGCACCTATAATCCCAGCTACTTGAGAGGCTAAAGCAGGAGAATTGCCTGAACCCAGGGGGCAGAGGTTGCAGTGAGCCAAGATCATGCCACTTCACTCCAATCTGGATGAAAGAGTGAAACTCTGTCTCAGAAAAAAAAAAAAAATGTTAAGAAACAACAGATGCTGGCGAGGTTGTGGATAAATAAGAACACTTTTACACTGTTGGTGGGAATATAAATTAGTATATACCCAAAGGAATATAAATCATTCTATTACAAAGACACATGCATGTGTTGTTCATTGTTCACAATAGCAAAGACATGGAATCAACCCAAATGCCCATCAATGGTAGACTGGATAAAGAAAATATGGTACATATACACCATGGAATACTATACAGCCATAAAAAGGAATGAGATCATGTTCTTTACAGGGACATAGATGAAGCTGGAAGTCATTATCCTCAGCAAACTACCGCAGGAACAGAAAGCCAAACACCGCATGTTCTCACATAAAAATGGGAGCTGAAGAGTAAGAACACATAGACACAGGGAGGGTAACAACACATACTGCCGTCTGTTGGGGGTTGGGTGCGGGGAGGGAGAGCATTAGGAAAAATGGCTAATGCATGCTGGGCATGATACCTAGGTGATGGCTTGATAGGTGCAGCAAACCACCATGGCACACATTTACCTATGGAAAGAACCTGCACATCCTGCAGAACTTAAGATAAAAATTAAAAAATTAAAAAAATTAAGATATCCCCCAGAACTTAAGACAAAAATTAAAATTACAAAAAGAAATAGTACTTATGTTAATGTAAGAAAACACATCGCAGCTTAAAAATAAATTAAAAAAAGAAAGACATGTTACATTTCACATTGGTAAGGAGTTCAATATAGGTAAAGGAGATAATTTGACAAAAAGATGATGTATAAGCAGGCATTTGCCTCCTCTCTCACAAAAGAGGAAAGAAGTGACAAAAAAGAAAAAAAGAGAAAAGGAAAATTGGTAAAACCTCTGTTAACCTTGAGACTGTAAGAAGAATCCACATACTACAGATTTTAAACAATTTCTGATATCATTTCTATAAGGTCAGATTTTTTTCTTTATTTATTTTGATACACACTGACTAGCTGTTGCATGCGTGTAGAATAAATTCATTCTCATACCACAGATTTTTGAGGACTTTCTGTTGTACTCTGTATAGATTAAGTCATATCACTTACTTCAATAAATATTTATTGAGTATTTATTATGGGCAAGCAGAAATCCAGCATGCTCAGAAAGTGGCTATTGTTAGAGGAAATAAATGGAGATACCTTTGCAAAACTCTGTTAATATCCTGTTACAGTAAAAAGAAGGCTGCTGTGAGGTTGGAGGCCAGAAAGCAGAGGCACCTCTTCATCTGGTGCTTGTTTTCCTGGCACAGATGACTTATTTTGGGATTGCTTTGTCTGGCAGGAAGCTTAAGAAAAGACAAACCAAAACAAAATGTTGCCACAGGGACTTTGAGACTTCAATATGGTAGGTTCACCACGATTTGAGGAACATTTTTGAGAGTTAGAGAATTGGAGAAGCTTCAAAATCCCAGTGTGACTGAGAAATCCTCAATCTTTTCAGGCAGCACCTCTAGAAAAAAAACACAAGTACACACACAGACGCACGCACACATGCAAACACACACACTCTCACACACACATACATGCACATGCACAAACACACACACATGCATGCACACAAACCCACACATGGTAGCATTTACATTTACATTTATACTAGTTATTTATGAGTGGGTTCTTTTTATCCATATGCTATACAGATACGTGTTATCTATATATTTTTCTGAATGATTTCACACACACACACACACAGGATTCTTTATTTTCTAAAACCAATATCAGAGTATGCGTAATTTTCTGCATTCTACTTTCTCTCACTAAACTACATTGTGCAAATCCTTCTAGTTCAACTAATATAATTATGATTTATTTGACTGTACATGACCACATGATATTTCTGGGTACCATAATGTATTCCTCTTGATGAGTAATTCTCTTTTCATTTGTTTATTTCCTCATTGCACTATTCCTATCATGGCTGCAAAAAAACACCCTGCACGTGTATAATTGAATGCTTGTAGTTTTTTTATTTTAAGGAGAGAGGTTTCATGGGTGGGATTTGTAGGTCAAATATTGCAATGATTTTTTAAGGCTGCTGTAACAGGGAACCACAGAAAACAGACATTTACCTTCTTATAGCTCTGGAGGCTGGAAGCGTAAACTCAGCATGTCACCAGGGCCATGCTTCCTCTGAGACACTGGTTGGAGCCTTCCTTGCCTCCTTCTACCTTGTCATGGTGGCCACCAAATGTTGGCATTCCTTGGATTGCAGTTGCAACACTTCAATCTCAGCCTCCGTCATCACATGGCATTCTCCCATGTCTGCCTCTGACCCTGCTCCCTTAGTAGGACTCCAGTCACATTGGATTAGAGGCCCACACTACTTAAGTATGACCCATCTTAATTACATCTGCAAACAACAGATGTCCAATTCACAGGTACTTGGTATTAGGATGTCAACATATCATTTTGGGAGACACAATTAAACCCACAACAAATACATATGTTAATTTAAAAAATTTAATACATGTGGCCAGATTTTCTTCTAAGTGACTATAGCGTTTACATTTACACTAGTTATTTATGAGTGGGCACTTTTTATCTATAGGCTATGCAGATATGTGATATCTATATACTTTTCTAAACAATGTGATGTAGAATATTAGTTACAGTAATTTTCATTTATTTAATTAGTTGTGAGTTTTCTTTTTTTGTATATTTGGATTTGCTCTTTTATGAACTAATGCTAATGCTTATATCCTTATTGTCTTGTTTAGGTCAATTTATAAGTATTTTTATAATATATGTCATAACCCCCTTCGTCATCTTTGTTTTGTAAATCATTTTTCCAAAAATATTTCTCCACTGGCTTTGTGTACGGTACCTTTTGCAATATATTCATAACTTTTTAAAAAAATTATATCAATTTTCTATTAGTTTTGTATTTATCCCATATGTTTTAATCTCTGTTCCTTCTTTCCTGCTGTCTTTTGGGTTAATCAAATATTTTTTGTTTTCTTTTTATTTTGTTGACTCTTTAATCTATGGTTTCTTTGCATTTTTAAAAAAAATTATTTTACTTTAAGTTCTTAAATACATGTGTTGAACGTGCAGATTTGTTACATAAGTATTCATGTGTCATGGTGGTTTGCTGCACCTATCAACCCGTCACCTAGGTTTTAAGCCAACCCGTCACCTAGGTTTTAAGCCTTGCATGAATTAGGTATTTGGTCATTTACATCAGATAAGTGAGGATATGCTTAAAATACAAAAAAAAAAAAAAATTACAAGTCCGTATGAAAAAGGCAACCCACTTTTTAAAAAAGGGCAAATAGGCCGGGCATGGTGGCTCATGCCCGTAATCCCAGCACTTTGGAAGGCCGAGGTGGGGGATCACTAGAGGTCAGGAGTTCGAGACCAGCCTGGCCAACATGGTGAAACACCGTCTCTACTAAAACTACACACACACACACACACACACACACACACACACACACACAGCTGGGAGTGGTGGTGCATGCCTGTAGCCTTCACCTACTCAGGAGGCTGAGGCAGGAGAATTGCTTGAAGCCAGGAGGTGGAGATTGTAGTGAGCTGACATTATGCCACTGCACTCCAGCCTGGGCGACAGAGTAAGAACTCATAAAAAAAAAAAAGGCAAATAGTGTAAACAGGTATAGTAAAAATATTTTAAAAAGAAGAAGAAGAAAATATTTCAAATTAATTAAAATTAAAACCAAAACAAGATACGTTCTTTCCTCTGAAATGAGTGTTGATTAAAATAATGAACTGCTGTTAAGGGTTTAAGGAATCATTCTCATATACTACTGGTGATAGCTGTAAAACCAATTTTATTAAACACTACTTTTAGGATGCAATTTCAAAATATTTTTATATTTATAAATTTTATCTAGAAATTCCACTTTAAAGAGTTTAATTAAAGGAACTAACCAAGGATATTACTGCACTTTTTACTGCAATAATTAAATATTAAACAAAAGAAATCACAAAAACATCAAAATAAAGGAGAATGGCTAAATAAACTATATCACAATCATGAATGAAATACTAGTCAATATTTATAATGTTGTATAGAAATATAGTTGTCATCATATCTTGATGCCTGAGATCTAGTGCTAAATAAAAATTAGATTATAAATTAGTATCTATAACATTTATAACACAATATACATGTACATAGAAAAGGATATTCAATGATATAAATATATTTTCCCTTCTCCAAATTGATCTATAACTCCAGTGCAATCCCAGTAAAAATCCCAACAGATGTTTTTTTTTCCCCATGCGCTTTGACAATGTGATTCTAAAATTTAGACGGAAAAGCAAAAAATACAAAATTACCTTAGGAAAGAATTGCCCCACTATACATTGAGGCTAGTTCTAAAGCTCTATTAAGAGAGTGTGCTTTCAAGAAAGGGGTAAAAAGGCCGGGAGCAGTTGCTCATGCCTCTAATCCCTGCGCTTTGGGAGGCCGAGGTGGATGGATCACCTGAGGTCAGGAGTTTGAGACCAGCCTGGCCAACATGATGAAACCCTGTCCCTACTAAAAATAGAAAAAATTAGCTGGGCGTGGTGGCACGTTCCTGTAATCCCAGCTACTCAGGAGGTTGGGGCAGGATAATCACTTGAACCCGGGAGGCGGAGGTTGCAGTGAGCTGAGATCGTGCCACTGCACTCTAGCCTGGGTGACAAGAACAAAACTCTGTCTCAAAAAAATAAATAAATAAATAAATAAATAAATAAAAAGAAAGGGATAAAAAAATTAGGTTGTTGAAATAATATTGTACACACACAAAGAGAGAGAACAGCAGGAGTGGGAGAGGGGGAAATATTAGATATATGTCAAAAATAACATTATAGATTAATACAGAAGAAATTACTCAATATATGGTGTGAAAAATAATTTTCTATGTAGGGAAAAATGTGTTCTCTACTTCATACTGTAAAATATATGTATGCATTCTGAGTAGGCAGTATTTTAAAAATGTATTACAAAAATAGTAACTATAAAGGCAATATTGATAACTTTCACTCCATACAGTTTAAAATCTTCTGTTCATCAAAACGCATCACATAGAAAAAGAGAGACAAAACTAGAGAAGATATTTTTATCATGTAATATTAGCAAATAACTAGAAAATATAGGACATAACAGAAATTAGTATGAAATAAATAAACGAGCTAGTGGAAAAATCACAAACACTTAAGTAGATATTTCTAGGAAAAAGGTGAAAGTGACCTGAAGTATAGATGTGTAATCTCTTAATAATACGCAAAATGCAAATAAGGTGACAGTGAGATACTGTTTTACCCCAGCTAGAATGGCCCAAACCAGAGTTTAACAAGTATTGGTAAAGATATGGATTAACGGGAACATTTGTAAAATGTTTTTAATAGCAGAAAACTGCAAACAAACTAAACACATCATCATGGGATGGGAAATAAATTGTGAAACATTCAAAAATAGAATTCTGTATAGATATCAATATTGAAATAAAGCTGCAGGCATCGACATGCATGACACTGGAGCCATAGTGTTGGGTGAAGAAGCAAGCCACAAATAACACTAAAAATTCATATCATCTCTCCTACTAAGGCAATCATAACAAAATGCCATAGACTAGGTGGTTTAAATGACAGAAATGTATTTTCTTACCATTCTGGAGGCTAAATCCAAGATTTACTGAACTGAGTACAGGCTACCTCAGTTCCTGGTGAGGGCTCTCTGCATGGTTGGCAGATAGCCACCTTCTTACTGTGTCCTCACATGGCAGAAAAAGAGAGAGAGATAGAGAGAGAGAGATATTGAGGGAGAGAGATCCTTATCTTCTTATAAAGCCAGAGTCCTATCAAATTAAGGTCGCAACCTTAAGATCTTATTTAATTTTAATTACATCCTAAAGACCCTATGTCCAGATACAATCACATTTCGGGTTAGGACTGAAGCATGAAATTTTGGGGACACAGTTCTTTCCACAGCATCATCTTCATGAAATTTAAATACAAACAAAAGCAAACTAATATATTATATAGACGCTCATACATATTTAATGAAACTACAAAGAAAGTAGTGCAACAAGCAAAATAAAATTCCAAATTCCTCCATGATGCAGGGAATGGCACCAGGAAGAGGAATACATCTTGACTCAATGGTATTAAAGAAATTCTATTTCTTAATGGGGCCATTGGTGATTATTTGGCTATTATAATCTATAGTTTATTATTTATTGTAAAAATCAGGAAAAATCTTTGTAGACTATTCCCACTTGGGGTAAATAAATTATGTATTTCTAAAAAAATGCATTTCTAATTCTGTGCATGGAGAGTGTTTATTATGATGCATATTCAATTGATAAACTTAGTTTTCTCCTGTTGGTAAAATTAGAAGTAATTTTTGTTCTTTCTAGTGACTTATTTTTTATATTTTTCCTAAAATATATTTCATATGTTAAACAAATAGATAAACCAAGTACAGGTGAAAATGAGCACACATCTAAAGACCAAGCCTCAAGCATATTGAGACTGGGTAGCATTAATAGAGAGTGCCCAGGGCTCGGGGGATAGGGGACCGTGGTTTACTTAGCCAAGTGTCTTTCCTAACTATTAAAATTTAAAAATTGTATTGCTAAAGAACTCAGTTGTTATATGGGAAACTTAGGGATTTTTGGCTGCAGGTATTTCTTCACTTTGAGGCATGACTCCCTCTTCAGTACCTGTCAGATTAAAAGAACTAGCTTCCTTGGTTGGGTTTTATTTACTGTCATTATTAATGATCCAAAGGATGGAGTAAACATAAAGCCAGTTAAGCCGGGAGGGCTTGCTAACACCTGGGAAAACAAAAGAACACAAAAATTTCAGTACTGTTGCTTTATTTCTAAGTAACAGCTCAATCTAGAATCAGTCATTTAAATTATGTTACTCTCAACTTTCTCTTTTTAGGACATAAAACATTTTTTTTAACCAATATTATTTTGCTTTTAAAAGATTATAGAACAAAAAGGTCTCTTGATTTATAGCTTTCCTCTAAGGAAAGGGTCTCAAAGTATCTTGTAAATACATGTAGAGGGTGATGTTGTATTGCTTAGTAGGAGAAATTTTTTCAACCTCAATTAAATGCATTTTTTTTCTACTGACATTGCCTGAAGGCTGCTTCTAACTCAACAGCTTGTGAGGAAACCTCAGAGACACAGACATCAGCCAGAACAGAAAAAGACCTCTGGGTTTACAAGAGAAATAATTTTGTCCCCATGAAGAATTAAGGTCTTCTGCAGAACTTTCCAGAAATGAGCAGTCTTAGATGGCAATGCTGATTTGCATGGAAACAGGGAATCCTGAATATACAATACATGAGAAGAGAACTACTGGGTGTTTAGATGGTGTGACACATGGTATGCAGGTATGCATGTTTATAGCAAATGGCTGTGTGACTCATAGCCAAGGTACAACTTGTCAGGACCAGGAACATCATATGGAAGAGAGCAGATAAAACAATGAAGAAATTTGCTACTGCAGACTAGATTCTGAGCACAAGAAAACAGTAGCTTGACCTGTGGAAATGACCATGATCTTGAAAATATCTCTTTGGCATTAGGAGTAAAGAACAAGGATTAAAACAAACATACATGAACCCATATGGCTACACAGGGAAGCCAGTTTTCAAGAGTGTGTGTACCCCAAAACAATCACAAGAAATCAAAAATTTTTTAAAAAGCAAAAATTGACAAGTAGGATCTAATTAAACTCTGCACAGCAAAAGAAACTATCAACAGTGTAAACAGACAATCTACAGAATGGGAGAAAATATTTTCAAACTATGTATCTGGCAAATGTCTAATATCCAGGGTGTGTAAAGAACTTAAATGCATTTACAAGAGAAAAACAAGCAACTCGATTAAAAAGTGGGCAAAGGACATGAACAGACATGATTCAAAAGAAGACATACATGAAGCCAACAAGCATATGTAAAAAAGCTCAATATCATTGTTTATTAGAGAAATGCAAATCAAAACCACAATGAGATACCATCTCACACCAGTCAGAATGGCTACTATTAAAAAGTCAAGAAACAACAGATGCTGGCAAGGTTGTGGAGAAAAGGAACAATTATACACTGTTAGTGGGAATATAAATTAGTTCAATCATTGTGGAAAGCAGTACGGCAAATCCTTAAAGAGCTAAAAGCAGAACTACCGTTTGACCCAGCCATCCCATTACTGGGTATAATACCCAGAGAAATAGAAATCGTTCTGCCAGAAAGACACATGCAAGCAAATGCTCATTGCAGAACTATTTACAATAGCAAAGGCATGGAATCAACCTAAATGCCCATTAATGATAGACTGGATAAAGAAAATGTGGTACATATACACCATGGAATACTATGCAGCCATAAAAAAGAACAAGATCATGTCTTTTGCAAAAACATGGATGGAGCTGGAGGCTATTATCCTTAGCAAACTAATGCAGGAACAGAAAACTAAATACCTCGTGTTCTCACTTATAAGTGGAAGCTAAATGTTGAGAACTTAAGAACACAAAGAAGGAAAAAATAGACACTGGGGTCTACTTGATGGGGGAAGGTGGGAGGAGGCAGAGGAGCAGAAAAGATAACCATTGAGTACTGGGCTTAATAACCTGGGTAATAAAATAATCTGTACAACAAACCTCCATGACACTTGTTTACCTATGTAACAAGCCTTCACATGTACCCTCAAACTTAAATAAAATAAAATAGACCTATATTTAAAAATATTTTTATTGTCTAATTTAAAATGTACTTTAAGGCTGTTATTTTTTTCTATCATCCATATGTATCAGTTACTACAATAAAGTAATTGAGATTTAGAAAAAAAGAATGCATGTACATGAGATAGAATAAGGATGCATACCCTATGATGAATACAAAAGAGGGAAAAACCTGTAAAAATTGAATCAGGAAGGCCAATACCCCCAAATAAACCAAAACTCAAAAAATGTGAAAATGGAAGGAGCGGGATCCCCAAGTCACCTTTGGCGGAAAGGCTCCAATAGAGTCACCTGACTATAAATATTTGCCTTGGAATTTGCATGAGAATTAAGTATTCTTTACGTTTGGCCACTGAGCTTTGCAGCTTGTTGTAATAGCCATTAGCCTACCCTGTACTAAGACTAGATTGAAATCCCAAATAATAAAAATGCCTTCCTTTAAAAAAAATTTAATGTATTATAAAACTTGCAAATATATTTGCAGGATAACCTTTAACAATCTTTTAAGAAATTAAGGGCAATGTAAAAAGTACCAGAAATATAGAAATTGACTAGTGCAAAGTTTTATAAGACAAAAAAGGACAAATTGGTAAGCTTTATGTCAATTTCAGGCAAACAATGTACAATGAATTATTGAAGAGATAATTTGTGGGTACATTAAAGAAAACTCCTCATTATCAGGAGTCAGCTTTGATTCCTTAAGATAAAGACATATTGTCGTCTCCTGTTTTCCTCTCTGAAAATTGTTTGTAGGCAGTAGTTCAGGGATTGGAATATAGAACTTCTTGTAGATGGCATAAGCAAGTGCATAAAATGGAAGTATTCAAAGGAATGTCTTCTAGTATGTATCATTAATGCTTAACAATTCAACTTCACATGTAACACATTTCTTAAAACTATTGGGCTTTTAAGAAAACATGCAATAAAAATGATTCAAATATGCATAGCATTTGTGCAATGATTTATAGTTTACAAAGCCCCATATGTACATTTTCTCTCCTGATTTTTGTAATAAAGACTGGGTAAGAAAATTGACATTCAGAGAAAAAAGGATAACTTATTGGGACCACACAGTAAGCTGCAGCTGGGATAAACCTAAGCCTTCTGATTCTAAACAGTTTTCTGGCCACTACTTTATTGTGCCACTTGTCTGAAGTCAATAGTACACATGTGCTATTTGCTGTCTCATAGTTATTTCAATTCTAGGTAATGACCCCCCCCCCCCCACACACACACACACATTGGGCCAGATTACTATTGCACAATATCAGAAGAAAATACTTTCTAATGGGATGCTCTACTAATGGATCCCATTTAACACAGGAGCTAGAAGGGCTTGTTCTATTCCATCTGGAACTTGTGGACTTCAGGCATTTATTGAAGGATGCAAAAGTGCCCTTGTTGTGTGATTGGGTTTCTTCCAGGAGCTAAATGCTTACCGTAGCGTGCATAATGAGAATGAGCCATTGCCAGAGGTTCTCCCATCAGAAAGAATTCTGATCTTAGAGTCCCTTATCAGCTCTAATCTGGCTCTACAACTGGCTATCATAGAGAAGGAAGTGTGTCTTATGGAAATGTTTGTTAAATAATGTGGGAAGGAATGCCTTTTTGAATTCAGGGAATTATGGCATCAAGCCTCTACCACTGATATCAGCATATTCTGATTTTAAAATAGAATATTTAAAAATCATAAAAGCAGTTTGTTCCAGTTTGATGTTTAAAAAACAATTAGTAGGATTGTGAGTTAAGGTGAGAGTAGTAGGAAGTAAGATCAGAGAAGGAAGGAGAGAAACAAATCACGTAGGGCTGTATAGGTTTTTATGGTGAGAGTGATGAGAAGCCATGGAAGTGTTCTAAACAGAGGAATAAGGTGATGTGATATACTTTTAATAAGATTTCATTGGCTGCTCTACTGACAACAAACTGCAGAGGAAAATGCGGGAGCAGAGAGATTAGTTAGGAGACTATTGATTACAACTATCCAGGTTAAGAAATGATGATAGTTTGAACCACTCTGTTGGTCATGGAGGTGGGGAAAAGCGACTGGATTTAGCATGTATTTTGAAAAATAGAGCTGCCATGGTTTGCCAAACAGTTGGATCTGGGGATGAGAGAATCATCAACAATGACTACAAAATGTTTGTCCAGAGTGAATAGAAACAAAGAGTTACCAGACACAGTGTTTGAGACATTTATTAGACATCTAAGGGATGATATCAGTAAGCAGTGGGATTTTCGTTCTGTAGTTTAGGTTACAGGTCTAGGCTGGAATTTTAGTTTTAAGGATCACTATTACCTGGAAGGTACTTAAAACAGTGAGTCTAGAGAGGATATGTAGACACAAACTACACATGGAAAATAGAAGAGGCCAAAGGACTGATCCTTGGAATATGTTCAAGTTTAAAGTTAGGGAGATGAAGAAACAACATCAAAGGAGCCTGACAAGGGATGATTAGAATAGTAACCAAGTAACAAATTTAAGAGTGACTCTTCCAAACTGGGAAATTTCAAAACAAAATAAGCCTGAAGAATTGTTAAAAGAATCTAGTCAGTCAAAACTGAATAAAGAGTATTTTCAGAAACGCTTGATAGCTCATCTATAATGGAAAAACAAACCCCCATGTCCAACTGTTCTCACAGTGGGTCACACAAAAAGTGTAACGGGAGTGGAGAAGAACCAGAAATGAGAAGAAGACAAGTCCTAAAGGTAGGTAAGTGTACAATTAGGTAATTGTGTCCTGTTTCATAGGAAACAAGAAACCATGCATGGGACAAGAATCTAATGAAGGATAGGTACGTACAATACAATTGTTTCCTACAAAAATAATTTTTAATAAAATCTCTCTGTAGATCTTATTCAAGTTATGAACCTTTCATCTTCAAACAGTAAAGATATACACACATTCACAAGCTGTTTTATTTACAAATCTATGACATCTGCAAAACTTTTAAACAAAGGACTCCACATTAATAACACCTAGATTATGATTGTCTCATCAGCTCCACTGCTTCAAGAGAGGAACTACATCAGAGAATTAAGGGAGCTCCTTGCATTGGGTTCTAAGCAGTTCAGTCCCAGCTGTCTGGTTGTAGCATGAGATTCTTACTGGTAGAGCTTAGTATCCATCTGCTAATAAAGAGACAAACAAGAATCGTCCCCGGATGCCTGTGCCAACTGAACATTTCACCAAAAACAATTAAATCAAATTTTTCTTGCGAATTGTTAAAGTAGCTTGAGGCAGTGTCACTTACATGGCCTCAAATAATGTCTCCAGTGTTGCAGAAACAACTATTTTCTCTCTGCACTAGATGAAGAAGGGCTGGGTTTATTTTTTCCCCTTCTCTTCCCTGAGCAAATCCCCATAACAAATAAAGTTACACTTCAAGACCGGATTACTCAGACTATTGGCTTTGCATGCCAATGTTTAAGTAAAAATGATACTTCTGAGAATTCAAATAATGTTTAAGTATTTCCAGGCTACAGTTCTACTTGCATTTGTCTTGGCACCAGCTCACCATGAATGTGTCAGGTTTTCAAAAAGATGACTGTTTAGTCATAGTTGGATGTCTTCATCCAATGTCTCACATGTGCTGAATATGTTTCTATTGCCTTCTTGCCTACTGTCATTTGGTAAAGAGTTCACTGCGCCATTAGCTATACAGTTTTTTGATAGGAGCCTGCAATCTCTTCTAGAAATGGTCTTATTTTGTTTAAGAGAGAAAAATTTAAAAAGAGAATGAATGAGAGAGACAAAAAGAGAAAGCTTAAAAATTCAATAAAATACAAAAGATGTTACAAAATTTATGATAATGTAAATAATCGATCATTTATCAACTAACTCTCCCAAAAGCTTCAGCCCTGGCCTTGTTTTCATTTCAAGTGTGTTCATTTTACAAGTGTCAGAAAATAACATTTTGTAAATGACACAGTAAATTACATTATCTTAAAGATTACACCCTTAATTTTTTTAAACTCTCAAAAACCATTCCTTCTTTTCTCCCCTCCACCCCAGTTCTATGTCTTCTAAGGTACATTATCAGATGAACAGAAAAGTTCACATTTCTTGTAGATACCTGTTTGTACTTTTTGATGATTACCTACCTGAATAAATATATTATAGTCCATACATCTATCATCTAAGAAAATATAAGAGGAGACACTGGTAACACATAAACTATCTTAACATTATTTGAAGCTCAAAAATTTCTTTTTTCATAAAAGAAACTATTTCAGGCCTTGTGGTCAAAACAGTGTGGGAGATATTTTAGGGTACTCAAGGGTGTCTTTAAATTTCATCATTCATTTCATGATTTGGGAGATAATAGTGCTAAGATTCTCTGTGGTGGCGGGTATGGATTCAACGGTGCATGATTGCTGTCTCTTACTTGACAAGATTTCCAGCTATAAAATATGTGAGTAAATGATGTTGGATATTATACAATGGATATTAAAAAATTGGAAGGGAACTCTGATTTGAGATGTGATTATTTTTCAGCCTTTAAAAATATATAACTAACATTTTTTTTCCTTTGTTTTTTCCTCCCAGGTTCAAGTGATTCTCCTGCCTCAGCCTCCTGAATAGCTGGGACTAAAGGCATGCACCACCATGTCCAGCTAGTTTTTGTACTTCTTTTAGTAGAGTCGGGGTTTCACCATATTGGCCAGGCTGGTCTCAAACTCCTGACCTCATGATCCACCCTCCTCAGCATCCCAAAGTGCTGGGATTACAGATGTGAGTCACCGTGCCCGGCCTACTGACATATTTTTAATAAATATTTCTTAATAATCATATATAATGCTCTAAAATATTTCACTAGGGGTTAGGAAGTTATTTTTATGTGAATAAAATTCCTCCTGGATAAATATATGTCTTCTTATTTTGCCCTCCGTTGATACTGGGGACAACTATCTACTGTGGTTTTGAAATACAGGTTTATGAGTTTTAGGGATATATTATTTTGTTTTTATATGCACAGGGGATGCCAAGATATTTAAAATTCCTGGAAGAAAGCAATATTATAGATAGAGAAAGCAGATCAGTGACTGCCTAGGTGTATTAGTATGTTTTCATGCTGCTGATAAAGGCATACCTGAGACTGGGCAATTTACTAAAGAAAGAGGTTTATTGGACTCACAGTTCCACATGGCTGGGGAAGCCTTATAATCATGGTGGAAGACAGGTAGGAGCAAGTTACATCTTATATGGATGTCAGCACTCAAAGAGAGCATTTGTGTAGGGAAACTTCCTTTTTAAAAACCATCAGATCTCATGAGACTCATTCATTATCACGAGAACAGAGCAGGAAAGACCCACCCCCGTAATTCAATCACCTACCACTAGGCTCCTCCTATGACACATGGGAATTGTGGGAGTTATAATTCAAGATGAGATTTGGGTGGGGACACAGCCAAACCATATCACCAGGGCCATGGGTAGGAGCAGAAAATGACTGCAAAGTGTCATGTGAAACTTGATAAGGTTATAGAAGTGCTCTCAGACTGCATTGTGCTGATGCTTAAACAGCTGTATAAACTTAGTAAACAATCATTACTCTATATAGTTACAGTGGGTGGATTTTACGGTATATATTCCTTAATCAAGCGGTACATGTATATATATAGATATATACTTACATATATGTATTTATGTGTTTTATATATAAAAGCTGTGTATGTATGTGTGTATATATATATAAAAAAATATACATACATGTGTTAAGCATAAACTCTATGATTGAGCTGTCATATAATTACCACACTATTGGCGTACTATATGGTGTACACTGCAATCTGCTTCATGGTGAACCTGCTTATCCTTCTGAGCACTTTTATTAATCTATAGGGAGTGCATGTTTTGGGAAATACATACAGTTCTGTGATAGGTTAGGTATAGCTTACCTTAAAGTATTGTAAAACCTTAGATGAATTCTATACATTTCAAAAAATAATGTGGCTTTTTTTCAGTAGAATTTAGCTACCTTCACATAACCCTACAAGTTAACAAAATATATAGCTTTTTGATGGTGTATAAGTGCATTTCTTGGGACAATATATTAAACTGTCCATAATGGATTTATGTATTGGGAAAAGTTTAAAATTGTTTTAAGGCTACTTGTTTATGGCCAAAGAACAATTCATCTTTTTCTTTTGTTAAATTTAAAACGAGAACTTTTTCAACAAAGGTTTATGGCTCTCTGTCTTCTAGGCACATGCCAGGATGGCACACCCTGGCTTCTACATTCTTGGATAGGGTCAGGTGACTAAGAACAGAGTCATGCCTGTCACCTGTCTGCTGGAGGATTTAATCTCTTGTAAGACTTGATAAAACTTTCTTTTCCAGAGGCTAGATATATAGGAGGTTGTGGCTGCTCCAGCAGCTTGGATTCAGAGTGAGAAGGCATAAAGGAGAATCCCCAGCTGACTTGTGCAGTGGTTAATTGAAATTATTCAGGCAAGAGATGATGGTGTCTTGGACCAGGTTGGTAATAAGGGAGGTGGTAAGGACTGGTCGGATCTGGGATATGATTTGATGGTAAAGTTGACAAGATCTACTGATAAGTTGGATATGCTTTATGAAAGAAGATGTAAATCAAGGATGAAGTAAAAATGTTTGGTATAGCAATTGGAAGATTAAAGTTGCCTTTTACTGAGACGAAGAGGACTTGTAAAGAAACAAGTTTAGAGTGAAAGACAGAAAATTAGGTTTCGACACTGTTAATTTTGAGAAGTCTATTAAAAATCCAAGTAGAAATGTCCATTAGCGGTTATATACATAAGTTTGTAGTTAAAGGGTGATGTCAGCATTGATATGTGAATTTACAGTCTAAAATTTCTCCCTAGTTCAGTGTAATTCAACTTTTATGATGTAAATGTGATTATGAGCCTTTTAAAAATGGAAAGATTCTGAATGCAGTAAATTCTTTCATGGAATAAAAATCTATCATATATGTGTAAAGGAACTAACTACATAATGAAGTATATGAATTAAACTCTTCATGTGAGTCTTATTCCGTCTTAAATAATGAATGAAAGGAAAAGTTGGTTAAGTTAATTAACACTTCGTTAAAGAATAAAAAGGCATGACGATAGTTTTAGGAATGGCATGACACTGAGATAAAGCAGTAAGTTATCTGTGGAGACCATGGGGAGAGTCCTCGCAAGGTTACCATGACTTTGACAATGACCATGGTTGTATTTCACTAAGAAACTTTAAGGGGGAAAAAATATAAAGGAAGAGGGAGATAAGAAAATCGGATAGGTAATTATGCGAAGGTCTTCAGTGAGGATCATGTGGTTTCCAGAAGGTCAAAAGGCGAATTGTGTAATCAAAATGGCTAAAATAAGAGTTAACCCTAAATGTATTGTCACTTTTCAAACTGACATAAAAGAAAATTTAAAAGGCTGATAGTGGTTGTAAGAAGATAATTAGAAGGATAGCCATAGACCATATTAAAGGTAGCTAGATAGCAACGCTAATTAAAAACGTTTACAATCTAGGAATACAAATGCCTCAAAGTAAGAACTACACTAAAACAAATGCAAAAAAAAAAAAGAAATCTAAAAGTAGTTATAATGAACATAATTTGAGTTTCTTGTACTACAAGTCAATATAAATATCACAATTTAAAATCTTTGGAAATAGTATATTTCTTAAGTTGGCATCCTTCATTTTCTCACCAAAAAATTCTTAACTTTTTAACATGAACATTCTTTGGTATTAGTTGAATTTTAGGATTGTTTGATGGGTTCCAGCCTCTGTTGTCACTACACGGAACGTTGGCAGATACTTTTGATGCACGAAAGACTAGCATAAACTTGTACCTGAAAACGATATTTTACTGTCTCAAGTTCTAAGATGATGCACAGAGAGAGCTATCATCATGTTTATTAAATCAATGGTGCCACTTATTTGCCAAACCAATATAAAAGCAAATATGCTTGAGGCACTTGAGTAATTAAATCTGTTGGGAAAAAGTCCAAAAGGAATGGCGTACACTGCAATCTGCTTCATGGTGAACCCACTTATCCTTCTGAGCACTTTTATTAATCTGCAGGAAGTACATGTTTTGGGAAATACGTACAACTCTGTGATAGGTTAGGTACAGCTTACCTTAAAGTAGAGTAATTGACTAGTCCTTTTCCGTATTTATAAAACATATCACAAAAAAATCTACCTGGAAGGTTTTATATAGTGGAGACAATCGTGAATTTTCTAAGCTTGCTGGAAATCTTAAAATGTAATTCCCTGTAAGTTTAAGTTAATAAAGACATTTGTTTCGAGAATTTTTAAAATAACTTTTTAACACTTTTATGTAGTCCTTTATATTGAAGTTTTCACATCCAATTACATTTATGAATCAGCTGACATATTTTTACTTTTTCCTTACCTTATTTCTATAAACTAGATGTTTAATTTCATCCCATGATAACATAATTTGTACACTGATTTCATGCCATGATGAAATAATTTTTATACCTAGTCTCTTAAATGTCATTATACCAAATTAAAATTTAGAGATAGGATAGTAGGCAAAAGGCCTTTCTTGAAAAACATTACTTTCACATTTTTGATGATGTTTTTGATCTCCAAAATAAACTTTTGGAAAACATTTGCATGTACTCACAATCCTCTTAATTTCAGGAATCGACTAGATCATGATAAGTCCATTGTGTTGTTTTCTGTTTATAGGTAAACACTTCAGAGCCTATTTTTCAAAACTAAATATTTTCATAACAAAATACATGGAAAGTATTATTTCTAGGTAATACTGAAATCTCTTGTCAAGCACTGGTTTCTACAGGAGTCTATATCACTTATTATAAAAATGTTTAAAGATACTTAGATTGAAAAACTGTAGGTTTCTATTCTAGAAATAGAATATTGGTCTTTACATTTTAAAGGCTCAACAGCAAACAACAATATACAAAGTTAGTGTTACCAGTATTTTGTTCTTATTCTTGAATTACAGTTAGAATTGGGCAACTGAGAAATCTGAGACATTCAGAAATAAAGACAAGAATAATAATATTGGTTTTCTTAATCATCTATCCTTATCCCTTCTTCCCATTTCTGCCCAAAGATTCAAGACCCTTCTATTAAAGCAATACATTCTTATATATTCTGATGTTGTCTTTTCTACTTCAGGGGATGAGGAAGGCTACAAAATGTGTCTACCTGTATTCTGTGAGGAGAACGTGTTCCCTGGTTTTAGATACTGTGAAGATGGATCAGGAGAGAGTTTATCTAGACTGTTGGGGAAAGGTGTTGCGATTCCTTCAGCTACACAGGATTGAAAGGAGACATTTCTGAAGGGGAAAAAGGAAATGAAAGAAAAGATGTTTCAGATTGAGGATATGCTGTGTGGTGAACTTGTTCTTCACTCTGTAGGGTTCACAAATGACTCTTCACTGCCCTCTTGGATGAAATAAACTGGTTCCCATAGAAATGGACCGTCTCTGATTTCACAGTCTAGAGCACACAAATAACTCAACTTTCTGGAAGCAAGGGTGATGGCTCGTGAGAGCTCAAGGACAAGGAGGAGTCTGTAGAAGCACACCTGGACTCGGGGAAATCATTGACCTCTCATCCTGAATTAAGTAGCGCTTGAAAAGACTCTCTTTGAATCAGAAAAATAATGCGAGCTCCTATCAAACTACCTTACACAGCCAACTGAGTGATCATAGGCTTGGGTGGAAAAAATGTAATTCGTAGAACCTTTTAAGAGCTAAGATTCCTTAATCAACATGGATACCGTCTTGTTGAATGACACCGAACTGTGCTGCGCAGGATTCGGTTGCATGGTGGCTGGAGCTGCCTCTCTGGGACCCAAATCTCAGACCTGCTGCAAAGTGACTATATGATCTGCAACTTGCTAACCCTTCTAGGCTTTTGTTTTATTATTTACATAATGAAGTGAGGGGAATATGTTCCTTGTAAATTTGTTAAGAGGATTAAATTAGTTCATGTCAAATGATTTAGAACACTGTCTGCCACATATTAAGGACTCAACAAATACTACCTATTATTAACAATGTGCCCTAAATCTGTAAATCACTCAATAATACATGGCATTAGGCTAAATATGGAAGGTAGAAGGAAATAAATTGTCCAGAAGCTAAAAATATGAAAGACTCTTCATATATTTAAAATATTTTCTTTAATTCTTTTGTTTTTTTCTTTTTTGAGACAGAGTCTCGCTCCGTCACCCAGGCTGGAGTGCAGTGGCATGTTCTCGGCTCGCTGCAGCCTCTGCTTCCTGGATTCAAGTGATTCTCCTTCCTCAGCCTCCCAAGTAGCTGGAATTACAGGCATGTGCCAACATGCCGAGCTAATTTTTTTATTTTTTGTAGAGATGGGGTTTCACCATGTTGCCCAGGCTGGTTTCAAACTCCTGACCTCAAGTGAGCCACCCACCTTGGCCTTCCAAAGTGCTGAGATTACAGGCTTGAGTCACTGTGCCCAGCCTGAAATATCTTCTTCACATCTTTTCATATGCATATTTGTTTTTACAAGTACATAAATATACATTTTTGATATAACTTGGAATCTTGCATTTTCTAACTCAATGTAAGTATTTTTCTTCTCTTTTACCTATATAAATATAAATATATATATATATACTTAGATGATATATTTACATACTTATTTTACTTAATAAGTATTTTTCTATTATCAATAGTTAAAATTCCACTATGGTTTATGCCATTTATTAAATGTCACTTTCCCTTCTCAAAAAAGTCTCATACTGTTTAAAAACATTAAATCGTGTGTGTGTGTGTGTGTGTGTCTGCTTGGCATTGCCTTTGATTCCACTGAGCTACCCATTTCGTCTTGCAAGAAAATCTTCCTATTTTAGTGACTATAGCTTTGGTGCATTTATTCATGTTTTATATTGTTGGACTCTTGGACTCTATCACTTGATAACCATGATTTAGCTGTTCTCTTTTTATTTTTTCTCTAGATTCATAAACAAATTCATGTAAGTTCTACAAACCAAACAAAAGCTCAAACAAAAAAAGAGAATACCACTGTCAGAATTTTATTCCAGATTGGATTACTATATATTCATTTGTGAAGAAAATATAGTAACTATATTGAGTGCTGCCACCCAGAAACAACATATGTATATTATTATTTTTATTTTTAGATGTAGTCTTGCTCTGTTGCCTAGGCTGGAGTGCAGTGGCAGTATCTCAGTTCACTGCAACCTCCACCTCTCAGGTTCAAGTGATTCTGCTGCTTCAGCCTCCCAAGTAGCTAAGATTACAGGCTTGTGCCACCACACCTGGCTAATTTTTGTATTTTTAGTAGAGATGGGGTTTTGCCATGTTGGCCAGGCTGGTCTCAAACTCCTGACCTCAAGTGATCCACCCACCTTGGCCTTCCAAAGTGCTGGGATTACAGGCGTGACCCACCACACCTGGCAATATGTATCTTAATTTCTTAAAATCTGTTTTCATGAATCCCTGTAAATATTTCAGTAGTGTTTTCTATTTATTTATATCTCCTTATTTTTATACAAATAAGAAAAAATAATAAAGATAAGATGGGGAGGGGTTTGTTTTTGTTTATCTTCTGTGATCTTTTAAAAATTTATAATTTCTAGCTGGGTATTTTTGATGTATGGTGCTGCTGTTTTTAGAAATTCATCTCATCCTCAATTTATTCTCTGAACTCATTAGTTAATCTTAAGAACACCTGTCAGTTTTTTAAAAATATGTTTTTAATAGGCTTTATCTTTTAGAGTGTTTTAGGATCACAGCAAAATGAGTCGAAGGTACAGAGAGTTCCCATAGACTCCTGCCCCCTCCCACAGACAGACTACCCTAGAATATTGTAAAAGGATCTATCAGTCATTTTCCTCACCTCTCTTATAGATGTCTCTCTTCAACAGTGAGATTTTTTCCGTAACTCTCTGTAGCAGGACTGGGCTTGTTTGCACTCAAATCCATGACTCATTGTTTCTCTGCCTTTCCGTGTGTTACAGGTGGGCTGATCCCCCTGCAGCCAGTTTCCCATAAGCAACTGACTTCCAACTGGGAATGTCTCGGGGGATAATGGGGGTGGGGATATGGAAGTATAGAGAAAACATAAGAAAATACTGGGTGTATACACCTTTCTCTCTCTGAGTATGATGACAATGTGATAGTCAGTGTGGCATCTGTGACTCCAGCTTGTGCCTGGCATGTACACCCTAGCTCCAGCTTCCCCTGGGAGACTGTGCATCTCCTGGCTCCACTAACACCACCTTCTTCTGACCTTCCAGCCTAGAGATGATGACTCTGCCAGCCTAGATGGGCTCTGGGTTGTCTCCCTATTCCTGTTTGCTTTGTAGATTTCCCATTATGCTGTCACCAACTCCCCAGCCTAAGCCCTCTCTATTTTAAATTCTCAAGTGGATTATGTTCCTGATTAGTCCCTGACTGATATACCACTCTCCTCATGATCTCTGATTAGTTTTCCTGTTAGGTTGTTGCAGTAAAAAAAAAAAAAAAAAAAAAAAAAAAAAAAAGTTTTCAGACCAACCACCACCTACAAATAATTTACTATGACCACCTAAAAAGATTTTCACAGGAGCCCTACCATGTGCAATGGTGAAGAAAGTTGTGGGTACCTTGGTGGAAGGGGTCACAGATAAGTCTTTTCATTGTAACATCATCTTTTTTCTCCAAGAGTGCCACTGTATGGAGGTGACACAGAGAGACGTAGAAGGACAGATCTCAGACAATTTCATAAAATAATTTCATATTTTTTACAGAACTGAAAGGATGGCACTTAAAAATAGGAGTAATCATTTATTCACTGGTAAATTTCCTTCTGCCAATGCTCTATTGATTGTCTTTACAAGACAATATAAGATGCAAAGCATCACTCATTGGAGCATTTCCCTAATGTTGAACTGAAGACCTGGTCTACTAAACTTGTTATCAAAGTTTATTGAGATTCGATGCATCACTGATATGCCATCCTAGATATGCAGAGTAAGAGTGGCTATGTTTCTGGGTGTACAAATCATTCTATCGATTAAATGCCACATTACACACCAGACGATCAGCTCCATAAAGCAAAGGCTGTGTCTGTGCTGTTAGCTGCTGTACACCAGCCCTTCAAGGACCGCCTAATGTGGAGGAGATTCTGAAATATTTGTTGAACAAAAATGAATGAATACAAGAGTTGGCTTGAAGAACCTACTTTGAAAATTACCTCATGATGGATGCTGGGGATGTGGAAGGAGGGGGGGGGGGGGACATTTACCTGCTTCCCAGTGTGGAAGCTGTCTTTCTTCACCTTCTCACATTTAAAAGGAGTGGCTGGGCCATGCACAGTGGCTCACATCTATAGTCCCAGAGCTTTGGAAGACCAAGGCAGGAGGAACACTTGAGCCTAGGAGTTGGAGGTTGCATGCAGTGAGCTGTGATCCCGCCAATGCACTCCAGCCTGGGCTACAGAGCAAAACTCTATCTCAAAAAATAGGCCACTTTAACTCTGCACTGTGACTCCTCACCAACTCCGCACACCCACAGTAACGTAATTATGAATTGTGCATTTGCAATGGAAGTTTCAGAAGGGATTCCATTTTGTAAGTTAAAAAACAAAACAAATTAAATAGTAACTAAAGCACTTGAACCTCCTCCCAAAAGAGTGGTTTCTTATTTAATGGCTGGCACAAAGCAAAGTATTTGTTGAATGGAAAATGATACAAATGCTCTCAGAGTAGGAAAAAATAACCCATTTTTTCTCTCTTTTTCTTAAGAAACTTCAGAGCCAGTTGAAGTATTCATGAACAGAATGACTGATTTTCTATATGTGGGTAACACCTTTCAGTAGGCTAAAACTCAAATTTGAGTTTTATGAAAATACAACTATTCTTTGTTGATTTATGTGCATTAAAGCTTAGGAATATCTATAGCAGTTCAATTATTTACATCTTGGTTCTTTGGGTTTTTGTTTTTTTGTTTAAAAGAAAGACTTAGACTTTGGGTTTTCCAGCATAGAAGTTCCAACCTCATTTGAGCTGGCAACAGACACACTGGTGCCCCAATGCACAGTTTTTTAATGACTTTCTCTGTTCTGTCTTCATTGTCCCATTTTCCGTCATCTCCTTGGTGACCAGTAGAGACTTACTGTTGCTTTCCTTAGGTCTAACTAAGCCGCAGAACAGGATGTTGAATCCAGCACATTGCAATACTTGCCTATCAACAGAGGACATGGTGAGTTTCCTCATCCATAAAACAGAGTTAATTAAACCTATGCCCTTGCTAATCACAGGGATGCATTTTGAATTAAAAGAATCATATTTTTTTTAAAAAATTGGGCTTCATAAAGAAAGAACTTGCATAAACACAAGCTATTATCATTATAAGTGGGTTGATTTATTACTGAAACCACACCTGCATCACTCTAAACAACCCACCTGCTTGTTTTTGTTAATTTTTTTTTTTTTTTTTTTTGCGCAATACCAGCTTTCACCCTGTCTTCTGCACTGCTTAGCCTTGGCTCTGCTGAGTTGTGCAACACATTCTGAGAGATGCCATACAATGCTCCAGGCAAACTTATAGAAAAACAGGAATGAGTGATTTTATACGGGATGTGTTTCAGCTGTCCAATTCAAAATAAATCACGTCCAGGTGCATTCTTTCCTAATTTGTGACCCAAACTGCTTGCACTTTATACATTAATGAATTATTTTTTTAAAAGAAATTAGCTCTATCATGAAGACAGTGCTATCTAACCCTTTGTGGTCTTTCTCCCTTAAAAAGCAATTGTTACCATTTTATAGGTGTTAGGTTTAATCTACATATTTGAATGAAGCTGAAATGAACTAACGTATGTCAACCAGTAAAAGCAGGACACTTAATAATAATGCTTCCATGAAAATATACATTGTGCATATGTAGGCTCTTTTTGGCATTACCAAATTTGCCAAGAACTTTCTTCTATAAATTAAATTCATTATCAAAACTACTTAGTGAGCCAGCCTTTAAAATTCCCATTAAATTTTTTGAACAACTTTAATTAAAATCTTCTGAATTCCTAGTGTGTTTCTCTTTCAATTTATGAAGAAAATACTTTAGTCTAAACCCATAGGATTACAAGCCTATAACACCATTTATAATCACAGGGCTTGAGATAGCTGTCACCGTTTTAAAGTCATCTCATCTTTAATGCAATGTTTTAAGCTGACGAAAATGGAAATGGTTCCAATCAGGAAAATAATATTTCATAGAAACGATGACTTATTCTTCCCTCCAATAGTGTTAATCAGATTTCATTTATTTTTATAGCATGCCAGGCATTAGCATTACCCTCTAGACACAGTCCCCTTTCTATTTGTCCTTGGATAAGTTATCTGCTGTATTAGGATAACTTTCTTCCTCAAGATAAATGTTTCCTGATAAAACAATATTATTAACCTGCAGCAATTGCAATGTGAAATAAATGCAGTTGTCAAGTCAGCTTTGAAGTGGGGGAAGAACAGTGACAGATTTAAAAACCGCGGTACTGTTCGCTGCTTTTCTTGAGTTCATTTGTCTTTCCAATGATCGTATATGATTGAATAGTAGAGAAGGCACCTGCAAGTAGAAGCCAATGGCAAAAGATTGATAAGCATCTTTCCTGGACTCTGGTGCTTCGGGGGTGCCAATAACTGCACTCTGAGTAATCCTGGTCACTTCATCAATTGAGAGAGTTTAAGTCAGGGGACTTATGATTTCTTTCTCAACAAGACCAGGTGAACGTGTTTTTGCAGTTCTAAGTATTATTTGCAAATTAAATAGCCATATATCTCTAAAGCTTCCTGAGCAACAACCAGAGGTACCCCCTCTCGTTCCCTTTCAGCTTTATCCGTGCTACATAGGGTTCACGTCACCCATCTGAATGTCCATCACATCATAACATCAGATCATGGTTGAGAGCTGATTACATGCTAATTGCATAAACTCATTGAATTTTCACAACCAACAGACAAGATAGATATGGACTGACATCGCCTCCATTACACTCATGGTACAGAGATAAGAAACTTAGCTATGGTCACACAGCTAGTAAGCAGGGATCAATTCTTTAGTTATTGGACTGCGTTCTACTCTTTTGCCTGTGTCTGCCTTCACCAGTCTGTGAACTCCTGGAGTAGAGGAATTGTGCCTTATATGTTACTGGCTTTGAATTTTTTCATCCCTGGTTTTTTGCACAGTGACCAATGAATGCAAGGTGTACAGTGAAAGTTAGCTGAACTGATGGAAAGATGGACTATCAGAATAGTGCCCATTTTTCACTTTTGAGAAAGCCATTCAGCGTCCAGGCTGCTTAGAAAGCAGCTCTTACATAAAACAAGTGCAACTCCCTAGGTGTGTGGGAGCAGGAACGGGATCTGGAGCATGATGGAGCGATGCTCCCACTAGATGAGGAAGCTCTTTCTTTTTTTAGCCAAAAAAAAAAAAAAAAAAGGAGATGGATACCATGTCAGCAATGCCCTACTTATAGTATTCTTAACTTGATTAAGAAAGCGATGACTTCAAAGAAGCAAAAGGGTGGGGCTGAAAAAGACAAAAGCCAAGAGGAAAAGCCAAGTTTGTGCAGGCATAAGCAAACTAGCATCGTGATCTGTGAACACATTGCACAACCTGAAAACATGTCAGTTAATTAAAGTCCTTTTATATTAATTGGATGAAGCATAGATTATGTAAAGGTAGAACAGCAGTGTTCCTGCGGCTGTCCTATTTCATAGTACTGTGCTTTTGGGGCTATTTAATATAACAGATGGAATATCAGTAACTCCATAGTTATCAGAAATGACTCCAATATACTTAGTTAATACACGTATTAAACAAAATTACTCCAGAAATCCACACTAAGATCAAATAACATAACTAATAACATAACTTTCTACAACACAGAAAATGTTTTTGTGACCTAGGATCAAGATGGTCAGATTGATGTATAAGAGTTTTTAAAAATAATTCTGACCTTGCCTTACAGTGCTCATAAACTAGACCCTTCAACGGTCTGACCCATGGACATGCTACTATATGACCCACCTAAAGAAAATGGCCCCAGAAGGAAGTGTGGTCAGTGTCAAAGGCCTCACTTTTCATAACTTTATTCTAACCTGTTTATTTCTCTTCCATGATCCCTTTCACCCTTTTGAAGCGAGAAAGCCTGAGTTAGACACGTCATCATCATTTTAACATTGACAATAACATTAAATAAGAGTGAAGGACTGTATCAGTTCTGAAACTCTACACACATTTTCCATATTATGTTGTATTTTATTTATTGTGTGTTAACATCGACATTATTAGGTATACAGATACAGATGTCAATGTACACAGATAATCTCTAAGTAAAAGAAAAAGACAACAAAGTTACTTGGGAGGCTGAAGTGGGAGGATTGCTTGAGGCCAAGATTTCAAGACAAGCCTTGGCAACATAGTAAGACTCTGTCTCTAAAAAATGAAATAAAACAAAATAGCTGGGTTTGGTGGCAGCACATTCTTGTAGTCCTAGCCTAATTAGGAGGCTGAGGTGCACATTATTCAGTTCAAACTTCCCTGTTTTAAATGATTATGAATATAAGTTTATCCATTTCTTGAGCTGACATGTCCCTTCAAGTGGGAAACCATGGTGAGCGCCTGATTCCCTTCTGTGTCATATTTTCCAAGCTAAGAAATGTGTGAGGTCTGTTACTAATGAAGTCACCACAGCACAGAGATTGTTAAAATCCTCAAACATTTGAGCTGGTACTCAGTTTTCTTGGTATCCTCATACCTCTCAAAACTGTCTAACTCTTTGCATAAGAAATTTAGGTGTGGTTTTTTTTCCTATGTTTATCTTCTGTTTGTGGGTTGTGTTTTATTTTTCGTGTAAACTTTTACAATTAGATACAGGGAAAAGAGGTTCTGTTATTACTTGATGAATTATGTACCTACTGTTAAGCAGTTTTCAGAAGATAGTATCCAAACTTTCTACGATTTCATACATTCTACCAAATGGTAGAATGATTTTAACCCAGTTCTTTGTAATATGCCTGCTCCACAGTAAGTGCCCAGTAATCATTTACTAATTATCCCTTGGAGGTACCTCCTGAAATATTTGTGTAATACCGGATTTTTAAATATTGAACTCTCAAATGCCAAAAATAAAAGAGAATGTATTTTTAACACACTCTTTTTTGGTGAATGTGTGTATTTGTGTTCAGTCTAGACTCATTTGAGGCAAGAAAACAATGTTGTTGCCTGATATTTGCTACTGAAATTTACTTCATTCTGTTTCCCTTTGTTTTCTATATGTCTGTGGCAAAACTTGTTTCTAGCCATTTATTGCAATATTCAATGTGCACAGCTTTAAGCTCTCAGCTTTTTAATAGACTTGGAATTGAATAGAAAATTATGAGAATATGTTTTCACACCATATTTTCAAAACATAAGAGCTGCGTTAAGACATCAAATTGGATTAAATATTGTAATATTATTACTTCTAAATGATATAATTTTATGTTATGTTGAACTAGGTGATAGTTCATAGATAGATAGATAGATAAATGTTAGACACATAGATATACACACACACATATATCCCTCAATAGCTCAGTGAAAACTTTAAGGAGATATATCTTAGGCCTGAAAATTATAACAATAATGAAAAATATGCCAAATGATACAAATAAATTGGTTAAAAAGTATTGGTTCAGAGGAATATGTAGCATGGAAATAAAGAACTTGCAAATCAACCAGAAGAATCAGAATCATCTGCTAGAGCTTCGGCTTTGGTTTGGTTTGCTTTCTTTTTGAGACGGAGTCTTGCACTGTCACCCAGGCTGGAGTGCAATGGCACGATCTCAGCTCACTGCAACCTCCGCCTCCCAGGTTCAAGCTATTATCCTGTCTCGGCCTCCCAAGTAGTTGGGATTACAGATGCCCACCACCATGCCCGGCTAATTTTTTGTATTTTTAGTAGAGACGAGGTTTCACTGTGTTGGCCAGGCTGGTCTTGAACTCCTGACCTCGCGATCCACCCTCCTTGGCCTCCGAGAGTGCTGAGATTACAGGCGGGAGCCACTGAACCTGGCCTGGTTTGGTTTGCTTTAATGAATGACTACTTGGCACACACCTTTCTTCGGGTAAATTTGCTTTGATTTTCTCCTGAAACAACTTTGAATACTAGTCCAGGCTCTACTAAATTCACAAAAATAAATAAGAACATGTAAGGATATAAGCGCCCAAATAGATTTTGCTTTCTTGAAAGTAAGAAGCCAATACACTTAGAAAACCCCTGATATACCTAGGAATGACTTAATTTTAAGTTAATCCTTGGAATTGGATGGCTCAGCTAAAATTGGATTTTTTCCAAATTAATAGGAGGCTGGCTGAGTTGACATGGCTATTTTGATTTTTTTATTTTATAAGTTGAATTCTTTCTTTTCTCATCCTCACTCTCCTTTACTGGGCTTTCAAATAATATTAGCATTTGCCCATCAATGCAGAGTATACCATAGATCCAATTATTTTCATTTTATTCATACATACTCCACTTAACCCCCCCTCAATACATCCTCCCACTGGAGCAAGCAAAAAGTTAGTTTATTGGCAACACAGAGGAACATGCTCTGGAACAATTCTCTCTTTTATATGTTACAGCATAAGGTCACTGGAGCTAACCGTCTTCCCAAGAAGGACATCTTTCTGAGGGTATCAAGGAAGTGTGCTCATCAGGATTTCATGCTTCCTGTCACTCTTCACATCTTTGTTATCCTGTACTGCTGAAGCAGGTACAGTTTTTCATCCAGGAGCTCGTCAACAGTTTATTCTTTTTAATCAAACAATGAAAGAAGAAAAGATATTTAGACATGAAGTCCTTGCCCATGCCTATGTCCTGAATGGTAATGCCTAGGTTTTCTTCTAGGGTTTTTATGGTTTTAGGTCTAACGTTTAAGTCTTTAATCCATCTTGAATTGATTTTTGTATAAGGTGTAAGGAAGGGATCCAGTTTCAGCTTTCTACATATGGCTAGCCAGTTTTCCCAGCACCATTTATTAAATAGGGAATCGTTTCCCCATTGCATGTTTTTCTCAGGTTTGTCAAAGATCAGATAGTTGTAGATATATGGCGTTATTTCTGAGGGCTCCGTTCGGTTCCATTGATCTCTATCTCTGTTTTGGTACCAGTACCATGCTGTTTTGGTTACTGTAGCCTTGTAGTATAGTTTGAAGTCAGGTAGTGTGATGCCTCCAGCTTTGTTCTTTTGGCTTAGGATTGACTTGGCGATGCGGGCTCTTTTTTGGTTCCATATGAACTTTAAAGTAGTTTTTTCCAATTCTGTGAAGAAAGTCATTGGTAGCTTGATGGGGATGGCATTGAATCTATAAATTACCTTGGGCAGTATGGCCATTTTCACAATATTGATTGTTCCTACGCATGAGCATGGAATGTTCTTCCATTTGACAAATGGGATCTAATTAAACTAAAGAGCTTCTGCCCAGCAAAACAAACTACCATCAGAGTGAACAGGCAACCTACAAAATGGGAGAAAATTTTCGCAACCTACTCATCTGACAAAGGGCTAATATCCAGAATCTACAATGAACTCAAACAAATTTACAAGAAAAAAACAAACAACCCCATCAAAAAGTGGGCAAAGGACATGAACAGACACTTCTCAAAAGAAGACATTTATGCAGCCAAAAAACACATGAAAAAATGCTCACCATCACTGGCCATCAGAGAAATGCAAATCAAAACCACAATGAGATATCATCTCACACCAGTTAGAATGGCAATCATTAAAAAGTCAGGAAACAACAGGTGCTGGAGAGGATGTGGAGAAATAGGAACACTTTTACACTGTTGGTGGGACTGTAAACTAGTTCAACCATTGTGGAAGTCAGTGTGGCGATTCCTCAGGGATCTAGAACTAGAAATACCATTTGACCCAGCCATCCCATTACTGGGTATATACCCAAAGTACTATAAATCATGCTGCTATAAAGACACATGCACACATACGTTTATTGCGGCACTATTCACAATTGCAAAGACTTGGAACCAACCCAAATGTCCAACAATGATAGACTGGATTAAGAAAATGTGGCACGTATACACCATGGAATACTATGCAGCCATAAAAAATGATGAGTTCATGTCCTTTGTAGGGACATGGATGAAATTGGAAATCATCATTCTCAGTAAACTATCACAAGAACAAAAAACCAAACACCGCATATTCTCACTCATAGGTGGGAATTGAACAATAAGAACACATGGACACAGGAAGGGGAACATCACACTCTGGGGACTGTTGTGGGGTGGGGGGAGGGGGGAGGGATAGCATTGGGAGATATACCTAATGCTAGATGACGAGTTAGTGGGTGCAGCGCACCAGCATGGCACATGTATACATATGGAACTAACCTGCACATTGTGCACATGTACCCTAAAACTTAAAGTAAAATAAAAAAAAGAAAAAGATATAGTAAAGGGAAAATCTGGACTAGTGAATCTATTAAATAAGGTGAGATGCAAAAAAAAAAAAGAAAAGATAAATGAGTCAAGAAGCTAGCATTTCGCTATGCAGGTTGGGGCAATCTATAGACTTTTCCTCTTTCTTTTTTAAAAATGGTATATATAATTTTATAATACATGTAATTTTATTATATATATAATATATATATATAGGTCTTGCTCTGTTGCCCATGTTGGAGTGCAGTGGCATAATCATGGTTCACTGCAGCCTCAACTTCTCAGGCTCAAGCAATCCTCCCACATCAGCCTCCCAAGTAGCTGAGACTACAGGTATATGCCACATTCCTAGTTAATTTATTATCATTATTATTTGTAGAGACAGCATCTCACCATGTTGCCCAGGCTGGTCTCGAACTCCTGGGCTCAAGTGATCTGCCCCCTTCGGCCTCCCAAAGTCCTGGGATAATAGGCATGAGCCACTGTGCCCAGCCTATATAATTTTTTGAAACTGCTAAGAAATCTTTCCACCCACAGGTTGTCAGTTGAGGTAGAAGCCCTATCTCCTCAGTGAATATTCTTTAGGATTTTTAGTGTGCTGTATTTGATTCATTGCTCTTCCACTCTTGCTCTGGGCCAAGGTTGCCTTCTGGTGGCTTTCAGGGGTTTCTCCTTTTCATATAAGCTGCATTTGAATTGGGCTCCTATGTTTAATTGGGCAGGCATTACTCTCAAACATACTGGTTTTCAAAGTAGCCACACCCAGGACTCATAAATAAGTATCCTGATCACTTCACCAAATAAGTGAGCTTCTATAACCAGAATATCTTGTGTATTTTATTTTTTTCTTTTCTCTCCCTCTTCTTTATTCTATTTTCTATTTGAATAATGACATGCAGATAGGATGCCATTATCTGGGATATTTTTCACATTATCTGTGTAGGAATTTAAATGTATACTTGCAGGATAGAGTATCTAAATCACTCAATCTCTCTGTTATAAAAATAATGCAGAAAGTCTTCAGTGATTAGCTGTCTCACAACTACTATTGTTGGGTCTTCTGAAGTATGAATTTTGTGTGTGAATTCCAAATCTAAGTGCTTCTCTTTTGGATCAAATCATCACCAAAACAAAAACAATAACAACAAAAAAAGTCTTTATTGTAGCATCTGTCTTTCGTAGTTCTCATTATAACCTTGACTTCCTCTCCTTAACTTTTTGGATGACAAAATGTGCAGTGGTCAAACACAAATGAAATCAGCTGTGTTGACCCCAGATAAGATTGAATTGGGTCACTTCCACTAAATAAAGTGAAGTTTAATTTTGCACTATGCAAAAAGCAACCTATTGAAGTTACTTATTTCTGAGAATCTCTCCCAAGTTTCCAATCTGACACCACATTGCTTCTCACGTTTGTCTACTGAACATGGTGACGTGAATTTTCTACTGGTGGTATTAGCTGTATTTTGAAGACATATTTCAGTATTTTCACTTTTAAATATGTGTATTTTGTGAGCAGTGAAGTGGCGATAGAAGACAGTTGACCGTGATTAAGCTAAAATATGTAAATGGGCATTTCCAGGTTTGTTTTATTGGGTGGGGGTAGGGGATGAAGGCAAATATCTGCTTTAAATGATCGAAGTTTCCTCTCAAGAATAAAAACAAAGTATGGTACAGTGAAACTCCCAAATACCATTTTCCAAGGTACCTTTGTCTGTAGTGAAATGCAAAGTAACTCATTTGAACGGGGTCTATGCCTTGGGATATCACATGAAAGCAAGGCCAACACAACAATTTCCCCCAGAAACAGTGTTCTTTATTAATGCCACCAGGTAGTAGACAAGCTGTCACCAACAGAGTCATTATAATGGCCGAGACAGAGTATCCCGATAACTCTGCATTATTCTGCTGGAGTCACTCTGTGCCACTGCATGATTGAGCGTCTCCCTCCCGTTTAGAAAAGACTTGGTTCATGTTACCACTGTAAACTCAATCCCTGAACATATCGCCTCACAGCAACAGGACAAAATGCAAATGAGAACACTTTGCAATTTATAAAGAATGTTCCTGGAAAGATGGTCAAAGTGGTTTATAAACTAGAACTATCTTTTCTGAGAGTAAACAAAGGCACAGAGTGTTTAGATAATAATGTCAACGGGACAACTTATTGGAAGACAAAGTAGGAAAAAAAAAAAACTTTGAAGTGTATTATGACCAATAGGTATTATCTTTACACAAGCATTCTGAAAACCATCATGAAAAACATGTGAAAATCTGATTTCTAGTTCAGCAGAGAAGGTGTCATTTTCTCCAAAATGACAGGGTGATTCACTTATGAAAAGTATTCAAACGTTAAACATCAGTCTTTGGGTGGTACGTGAGTCCAATATTTAATTTCTATCAATGTATACACAAGTTGGGAATCTGACTTATTAATAATATTAACCTGATATTGAGAGGTAGTACATTTGGCTTTTCTCAAACCAGAGCCAGTCTTCTCAGGAATTTACCTGTCAGTAGAATGGTGATCCTATAAACTGCTTCAACTTTCCCTCAGTTGTGTACAAATGTTCTCCAAGAAATTATTCTTCCTTCAGTAAGCCCAGAACTGATGCAATATGGAGCAAAATTGACTAATGACATCATTTGAAGATTAATAACAGTGACAAGAGAGTTGTTTAGGAATAGTAATACCACGTTTATGTCATCCTAGGGCTTAGTGATTAATTTATTTAAATGACTATATTGAAAAGTTAAAAAAAAAACAAAACAACTCAGCTTGGTAGACATGTTAGAAAGGGGAGCCTCTTCAGACTTCAGCTTTAAGGGGCTAAAAAAGTAGTTAAGAAGCTACTTTGCTAGCCCCTGAATGGGATGGTCAAGAATTCTACTCTCAACGGCTAGTCAATCTGTTTTCTGTTTTATATCACATGCTACCCTTGGTTGGTGACAGACTCTTTTGTTCTTGCTTTTCCCTGTTAAATTGTCATCCGTGTAATTACTCATCAACAGGAATTATTTTCCTTTGGTCTCCAATTTTAATTCTGAGAAGCTTTTCTTACTTGTGTTTTTATATTTTGTACATTACAAGATTTTTAAAAAAAAAAAACATTTTTAGTTTTTTTAAAATGTCGTTCTTATACTTTTCAAGTTGCACGGTTTTACCGCCAAATAAAATGTCCCGGGAAAATTATAATCCGGGGAATCAGAATCACGTATCAAATATATTTGTTTTTCCATTCAGTGGCTTTTCCCAAATGGAAACACACTTAACATATTTGATCCACAGTCTTTTGACATTCTCCTTTGCCTTGGTAGTACAAGGCAGGTAATTTTATCTTAGAAGAAAGAATGTGAAAGAAGCAATTGCTTTAAGTGAGTGACAATCTTAGTTCCTCAAAGTCCAGGATACCAGGTCAACAGCTCTATGAGGAGGGTGGCAGGGAAGCTTTTCTTTGAAATTGCTGGAGTTATACAACCCTATACTGTGAAAAGAAAAAGAGAAAATGAGAGGTGGACAGAGAGAGAGAGAGAAAGAGAGGGAGTGTCATTACAGTTTGAAATAGTGTATACATGTACACGTTAGGATCACTAGAAAAGGCTTATATGAACCACTCTTCTTAACAAAGTCATTAGGAATAGGTATCTTTTATAAATAATAATGGACAATAATTCTTTATTTATATTATAGGTCCAGTGGAGAAGACAGGACCCAGGTTAGACATTTTTGACTCCAAGAGTTACAGTCTTCTCAGGATAGATACTTTGAGGGTGGGCCCAGCCTCTCTATAACAAACATGTTATTTTTGAGTTTTCTTATTATTTTTTCCCAATACTTCAAAGAAAAAAATATTGGAAGGATTTTTTTTTCTTGTAGGATATTAAATGAAAAAATAAGAATAAAAAGATAAAAGACATTTTCAACTCCAACTCTTGGGGAGTAAATTAACTAGACAGTGTCATACAATGATGACTACTGCATTCACATTTTGTGAAATGTATTGAATATGTTGACCATCTAGCATCATAAACGAAGTGACTATAAAGAAAAAAGATCACCTTCAATAAAGCTTTAGTCAAGGGAGTGCTCAGGTTTGATTAACCATTTTCCACCAAAAGGGATCTCTTCTCAGTTGAAGACAACATTAATTGGGTAAACCCTTGTTGTAGCTTTGCTGTATATATACATATATATATAAATATATGTATATGTATATACAGTTATATATATAACTTTTATATAATATATAATATATATTATATACATAACTTTTAACCTGTAATTTGTGAAGAGCTAATCCACAATTTTAATCTGAGCAAGAGCAGTATCATTAACTAACAATAGTCACATATTTCCAGAATCATAACAACATTGTTACTTGTAGCATCCACCAAACACTCTACATCTGATGCCATCTAATTCCCATAACAACAAACCAGGTAAAAATACTTTCCTATATTTTATAGATGATCAGAAAACAAAGGCTCTGAGATGCTAAGTAATATTTGTGATTAAAAAACTTAGATTTGTCTCATTATGCTAAATTATCATTATCTTTTCTTCATTTCTTTTTTGTTTCTTTTATCTAGATGTGTTTGGGAATATCTCTTAATTTTTAATTATTCAACTGAAACCTGATTAAAATAAAACTAAACAGTTGCAGGATAAAGCTATGACCTTAAGTTCACTAGTGGATGAAAGGCTAAGAGAGAGCTAAAGGTATAAGAATCAAGTTCAGGAATGCCCCAATGTCAAGATACATGCATAGTCATGGTATAGAATTTCTTGAGTTGCATGGTGACATTTTCAGGGAAATAATTCACTTGTGTCACTAGCTCCAGAATTCCATGTGTAAAAAGTGGATAGCTGAGAATTCTTAGAATGCTTGAAAACTATTAAGACTCAAAATAAAATAATTCTACCTCCATTACACCCGTTTGACTGACATTTGGGAGTCAGCCACTCTCAACATTTAAAACACATGATTCTTTTAGGAAGCTCTTTTCAACATTTTTTATATTTACTACTTTTTGTCAATAAAATTTTGAAATCACATTTCCTTGTCTACCTAATAATATACTGCTTCTTCCAGGTATAATTGAAAGCCTTTTTTTAATTAAAAATGGAAAATATCTTCTTTTACTTACTCATATTTCGGTACCATGGTAATGTCTAGCAGTGCATTTGTATATTGAAAAGTGCTGCATTTGGATTTATATGGCTTTAGGCTTCATGTTAATCATCACATCCTCTTTACAGCTAAAAATAGCTCATGTCTTTCCAAATGGGTACCAAACCCTCTGATTTCTTAGAATTTGTTTTTCCCCCTACTTACATTTGAAGCCACCCACCCGTTTTTTGTCTTTTCATGGCTAAAAAGTAGTATTCTGCAGAAATTTTCATTCACCTTCCCTAGGAACCAACGTTCCATTACTCCCATTACAGAATGTCTTTGATGTGCACATGGGTGAGAAAGAGCAAAAGAACTAAAGTCAGAAGAGGTTTGAATGTGTGGGGTATGACATTAATTTGCACTTTGAATAATCATCTCAGAATATGTCTACAGGATGTCAGCATATCTGCTTCAAAAGTGGGGAAAAAACCCTGAAGTCAATCAACTCATTGGTCTACCCAGTTTCAAACAACTGATTTGAATTTAAAAAATAAGTTCATTATTGCTCTGTATTACATAGAGACAAATCTGTGTGAATATGGGTATATAACCTTCTCATAAATGTTAATATGTACACATTTAAACAATGTACTTATAATAAATATCAGGGAGCTTTAAAAGTATTACTATATTTATTTTTATTTAATATATATTTAGCTTTCCTAAACTAAATAGTTTAGTGTTAATGATATTCCTATTTCAATAACTTTTGAAATGAATGAAAGTGCTGTTTGTTTAAAATTTATTTTAGATTAAACATTCTAATAATTTTGGTCACCTACACTTAGAGTTGAAAAATTTACATCAGCACGTTCAAAACATTCAGAAAGTAATAAGTTTTAGAAAATGTTTAGTTTTCTTCTAATATTAATGCAAAAGAAAATTATGGGGCTAATTGTAAACATTTTGCAAATATAGTGCATTCAGAGTTTTACTTTTAATCTTTTGATTTAGATAAAATAAGGCCAAAAATATATCTATTACAATGGCTGCTTATCTTTATGTTGCTTAGGACACTTTTCGCCCATTGCATCTTGGGCACAATTTATTTGATAACCTAAAGAGGGCTTTGTCTGTTATATCCTATCCATGGGGTAAGAATGAGAGAGAAAATCTGTTATGAGTTGAATTGTGTCCCCCAAAATTCTTATGTTGAAGCCTTAACCTGCAGTGCCTCAGTCTGTGGTCATATTTGGAAATAGGGTCATTGAAGATGTAATTAGTTAGTATGAGGTCATACTTCACGGATGAGGGTGGGACCCTAATCCAGTATGACTGGTGTCCTTATTAAAGGAAGCAATTTGAACACAAAGACAGACTCACACAGGAAGAACAACACGTGAAGGTAAGTCAGGGATTGGAGCAATGATTCTATAAGCCAAGGGACACCAAAAATGGCCGGCAAATAACCAGAGTTAGGAGAGAGGCATGAAACAGATTGCCCCTCACAGCCTCAGAAGCAACCAATCCCACTGACTCCTTGATCTTTGACTTGTAGCCTCCAGAACCGTGAGACAATATATTTCTTTTCTTTAAGTGTCCCTGTCTGTGGTACTTTGTGATGGCAGCCCTAGCAGTCTACGAAATCTAATATAAATTTTAACCAGAGGAGGCCCATTCCCTTTCCTTTCAGAAAGAAAATAATATTTTATGTATCCTACATGATTATTGTCAGCCCTTTCCTTATATATCTGCATATATAGAAAAATCATATAGAGAGAGCCCATAAGACAGAATAGTACCTTATATAAAGACTTTGTTCATGCCCCAGAGATTCTGATTTAAAAAGAAACTGGATCATCCATAATGACACATCGTGGTTTTACATATCTGCTCTTGACTTTATGGTCCAAAGAGTGCATCAATTTAGCCCCAATCAACTCTGCACTAATGGCAATGCCAACCATTTTTCCACATAAGAAGGGAGCCTCAGTTTCCTCATCCAAAAAAAGAATAAATTGCATTAAAATTATTTACTTTATTGTACACAGTTTTACTTTATGTAAAAACCATTTTGAAATGAAAATTATATCACTAAATATTTGACTTAATACAGATTTGGATCTTCAATATTATTACTATCAAAGTTTTTTTTGCTTTCACTAAATTGTACATGTACATATATTTTAAGAAATTTGAAAAATGTATCTTACGAACTAATATCTAATTAATCTCTCCTTAGCCTCTTTAAAGGGTAACAGCTTGTTGAATGACTGAAGAAGGAATAAGAATCAGTTCAAACTTGGAAAGAATAAAACTCTGTGTGTGTGTGTGTGTGTGTGTGTGTGTGTGTGTGTGTGTGTGGTGTGTAGTTTGGCTGGTTTGAGAAAGTCTTTATTTTTCCTTCATTTATTTATAAATAAGCTTTTTATACTGAGGTAATCATAGATTCACACGGAGTTGTAAGAACTACGAGAGAGGGATCTCATGTGCTTATGCCTAGTATTCCCCAATGGTAACATCTTGCAAAAGCATAAGACAATATTATAACCAAGATACTGACATAGATACAGTCAAGATTCAGAGCATTTTCATCACAGCAAGGATTCCTCATGTTTCTCTTTTATCGTTATAGCCACTTCCTTCCTGCATGGATTCCCACCTTAACCCCCTGGCAACCACTAGTCTATTCTCCATTTCTATCATTTTCTCATTTCAAGGATGTTATATAAAGGGAATCCTACCATATATAATCTTGGGAAACTGGCTTTATTTTCACTTAGGATAGTTCTTTGGTGATTCATTAAGGTTGCTGAATGCATCAACAGTTTGTTCCTTTTTATTGGGAGTAGTGATCCATAGTAAGTTGTACTATGTTTTGTTTAATAACCATTTTTCCATGGAGAGATATCTGATTATTTCCAGTTCTTGGTTATTATAAATAGATGTGCCACAATGTTCAAGTTTGTTCTCATTTCCCTGGAATAAATGCCAAAGAGTACAATTGCTGGGTCATATATAAATGCAGTTGAATATTTAACTGTTTAAAAAACTGCCAAACTGTACTATTAGAGAAATGCAAATTAAAACCACAGAAAAGTATTACTGCACGTCTAGCAGAATGATGAAAATAGGGACAAAAACAAGCACAGCGAGGATACAGAGGACTTGCGTCACTGTCTCATTACTGGTGCAAAACCAGTTTGAAGAGACATATTTTATCTACATCTCCTGAGGTCATTTGTTCTCCATTTTAGATCCACTCTTAGAGACCTCTTGAAATCTACTTGGTGAGCCTAACTTTAAATAAAGGTACACCTAAGAGTTAGGGACAAGAATCTACAGTCAGTCATCATTACTCATGGATTTCATATTTACAGACCTGCCTACTCCCTAAAATTACCTGTAACTCTCAAATCAATAGCCACAGCTATTTCATGTCCCTTCACAGACATGTGGAGAGCAGCGAAAAAATTGTCACCCAAAGTTCATGTTCCCAGATGAGGTTCAACAAGGCGACATTCTGCCTTGCTCCTGTTTTATATCTCATATTGTACACAACTGTCCTTTTGGTGTGTGTTCTATTTAGTGCCACATTTTTCTCATGTTGTGCTTTTTGCTGCTGATTTCACTACAGTGATATAGTGCCATCTAGTATTCCTAAGTGCAAGAAGTCTTTGATGTACCGTATGAAGAAAAGAGATGTGTTGATAAGCCTTGTTCAAGCGTTAGTTATAGTACTGTTGGTCATGAATTCAATGTTAATAAATCAATGCTGTATGTTAAACAAGGTGTCCTTTAACAGAAACACACATAAAACAAGGTCGTGTATCGATTGTTTTATGACAATGTGTGACCACAGGCTCGAAGGAACGTCCTCTGTATTTCCCGTGGGAGCAACAGTTCAGTATTTGCTAATTCAGTGCTCACAGCAATTATGTTCTTTAAAGAACATAATAACCACAAACAACAAGAACTGACTGTGTTTTACTCTATGGAGGAATCACAGTCAAATCATAACAACAACAAAAACCAACCTAAAACAAACCTCCCTCCAAAAAAATACTTTCCTCATTCCCAACTCACTTTTCTTTTCCCTATCAGGTAGAGTTAGGGGACCACACAGCCCAGTTTTGGGGAGAAAGTCTTGGTTTGTCAAATGTATCAATAGTTTGTTTCTTTTCATTGAGAGTAGTGATCCACAGTAGACCACTTTTTCATGTATTGTGTCTCATTTTGTAGTCAAAATACCATGGGGCCGGGTGTGGTGGCTCATGCCTGTAATCCCAGCACTTTGGGAGGCCGAGGCAGGCGGATCACGAGGTCAGGAGATTGAGACCATCCTGGCTAACACGGCGAAACCTCATCTCTACTAAAAATTCAAAAAATTATTATCTGGGCGTGGTGGCACACGCCTGTAGTCCCAGCTACTCGGGAGGCTGAGGCAGGAGAATCGCTTGAACCCGGGAGGCGGAGATTGCAGTTAGCCAAGATTGCACCACTGCACTCCAGCCTGGGCAACAGAGCAAGACTCTGACTCAAAAAAAAAAAAAAAAAAGTACCATGGTTGGAATGATAAATGATATTGTCATTTTTGTTAGCAGTGAAGTGAGTGGCATCTATGTATTTTTTAAGGTATATAATGAAATTGTGCCTAGGGGAGTTATAATTTACTCTATGTATTTTTATATATACTTAAATCAATACATTCTTACAGACTAGCTTCTTTAGTGGTAACATACAGGCCGATTTTCTCACTCCATGAATGATTACGGACATGTATCCAGGAGCGGAGGTCCCTCAGCCACCAGTTCACCCAGGTGTCTTGCTCTTATCTTTCAGAAGGGAAAATTGGCTAGGGGTTTCTCTCCACCATGTGCTGTTCTCCAGGACTTTGGGTGAATCCAGGTGTGGGAAAGAAGGTAGCATCAGCTGTAAGATTCAATGATGTCTCTGGTGCAGCAGAATACAAACTGCGAACTTTGAAACGCTGTTGAAACTCCTTGGCTCCTCCTGGAGGCTCGAACTTGAAGGAAAGCGCTGATTAGGTTGAGACTCTGGGCTTCAACACTAGAATAATGAAGCCTCCCTCATAGCCCTCTTGCGAGGAGTCCCTGGGGGTATTCCCATGTGAGCCAAAGGGCTACTAGTGAAGATGCCATCAAGGGCTCCCCAAAAGGGACTGGTCTCGGGGATCTCCGGGGTAGCAGAGGTAAAGTGGGGAGAGTAATTCTAGTGACCAGGTGAGTTTCTGAACCCACAGTTTCTGAAGATCAGCACTGTGATTCTTGACTTTCAGCAGTGAGACAGAAAGATGGCATTGGAGAGCCTTGCTGTGGCTCCCGGAAACTCAATCCTCAGCCCATGGTCTGTTGCTCCAGAAAGCTACGTGTGATTGAAGTGTTTTATGCCACTAGAAAGTGAAAAAAAAAAACAAAAACAAAAAACTTTGCCACATAATTCTAGTACTAGATTATGACATTGAGAGAACACCTTTATTTCTATAGATCTTGTGGAGGTAAAAAAAATGATATTTTTCCAGATATTATTGAGAAGTCTATTATATAAATACCTTAAGACTTGACAATGGGGGTGAGAAGCAATTATCTGTGTAATAATAATGCTGATAATGTAGAGAATTACTTCAAATTGCCATTACTTTGTAAAGACGAGCACAAAGGTTTATTGCTTTCCCTCTGAAAAGGGATTTCTACAAAGTAGACAAAATAAAATTTCAGTTAATGTCTGGCTTCACTCCACTCCCCAGACTGGAACCTTGCTTTGGTGTTAAGTTAGGAAACTGACTGCAATGTTTGAAAATGTAAGTAAATTCATCAGTTTCAGAATCATTTTTGGCTTTCCATTGTTATAGAAGCCAGAAGTTAGTGAGAAATAATCTCCCGTTTCCTGGGAAATTTCATCAATGTATCTATATAACAGAAATGACTACATGTTCTTCAACTCTTTAAGTGCATATTTTCCAAAACTCCAGTTAGTATCTTTATGAATATTTAGGAAAGACTGAGGCTGTATCGAGAAATTTTCTGTAATAGACAAGCTATGAAATTGCTCTCTCCTTTCTCACCTTCAAATTTAGAGTGTGGCCCATTGACCAAACTCTAGGTATTGAAATAACTATATCTGCACAATTTATAAGCAACTAGAATCACCAGTTTTTAGAAGTGGACCTACCCAGCTAGAATTGTGAATTATTATTTGCATCATACTTAAACAATTTTTTAAAACTTATATGCATTGTCACTTTTGAGTTTGATCATTGCAGGTAAACTGGTTACAGCAAATTTTAAAATTCTTATTATGCAGATTAGACAACAAAGTGTCAAGAACTTTAGTTCACTTGACTAGTCACACTATTACTAAGTACATAGCAGGACTCAATGCATGCTTTTAAAGTAAATGTCGCTTTTCTCTCTATCTCTATAGCACAGATCCTTTTATCCCAAATGGATGGTCTTTGTTGCTTTACTAATGTCCTCCCTTCCCCCCTTTTCATGGTCCTCTTCTCTTCTTGGTGTTTTGCTATTTTAGGATGTTCTAGCTTGTCTCCTCAGGGTTGGGAAAACAAAACAACTGATTCCTAAAGCTTTCGAGTCTCCAATGCTGTCATTCGTGGTGTACTCCACATCTTTTTAAGAAGGGCATTAAATCGCAGCACTCACAAGGTTATGTCCAAACTCCTCCTAAACGGCCACCACCCATCTGTGCCTTAGAAGTATTAGGCTGGATGTGCAAATGGATCTGTTTTCAGATTTTCAATGTCTAGGTCATATTGAAGTAATACCCTAAAACAAAATTTGGTTCAAATTTCCATAACCCTTTATCTTTTTGCAAAGCGAATAAAGTAACATAATCTTGCATTACATATAGACAGAGGAGGAAGGGAAGTGAGGAAATGAATAAGAGCTCATTTATCTTTATTTCTTCTTCTAGAAAATAAGGGTGTTTATCTAGAAGCTACCTAAGGTGTCTTCTAGCTTTATGATTATATGTTTGATGATGTTCTAAGGGTTGGGCTGATACCTACTCATGTCCTTCAAACCAGACTTACTGTGATTGACTTTATTTTGGATATTTCAGCCCCTCCTTCTATTTTTATATCCACCATTGATTTAATATTATAAAAATTTGATAGTTGATACTAACATTATTCAGAGGATGGTAGTTTTATGGGTTGATTTGGGAAAAGTTTTTGTGTCCACTCATGGACTCCCCCTCTCCCTTCCTCCCTCCCATTCTCTCTCTCTTCCTTCCTTTCTTCCTCTCTCCTTAGGACACATTCTGAGCACATATTATATGCTCAGCACTCTGCTAGGGTCTGGGAAAATGATTGTGAATAGGATACAGGCTATCTTAAAACTTTTACTCTTTTTTGAGACAGAGTCTCACTCTGTTGCCCAGGCTGTAGTGCAGTGGCATGATCTCGACTCACTGCACCCTCTGCCTCCCAGGTTCAAGCATTTCTCATGCTTCAGCCTCCGGAATAGCTGGGATTACAGGCACACACCACCACACCCGGCTAATTTTTGTATTTTTAGTAGAGATGGGGTTTCTCCATGTTGGCCAGGCTGGTCTCGAATTCCTGACCTTAAGTGATCTGCCTGCCTTGGCCGCCCAAATTGCTGGGATTACAGGTGTGAGCCGCTGTGACCGGCCCTAAAACTTCTACTCTTTTGGGTGTGAAAATGCCCAGTGAATAAAGAGTGTTCTAGGCACAGAGGACATGCTTTGAGAAGACTAGAGGTAAAATAAGGAAATTAAAGGAAATGGTGTTCCCAGCGTTCCCATGATATGTACAGAGAAGAGATGTGAGGGATGGTGGTCATTTAGGCTGCACAGATGACCATGGGGGAAGCCAGTGAACCATATTAAGGATTTTGATTTACTCTGAGGGCACGGGAAGCCATTAGAAGATTTTGAAATGAAGAGTGACAAGTTGAAATTTATGTTTTTGAAAGATTATTTGGACAGCTGTGGTGCCAATGAATTAAATGAGGTTAAGACTAGAAAAAAGAAGAAAATGTAGGCAATATTAACGTAATTTAGACATGAGCGTTTGAACTTGTTTTGGCAGGAGGGGTGAAGAACTTTAGGTGGGTTGTAGAGTATTTAGGAGACAGAATTCCTAAGATTGCATAATGTAGGTGATGTTTGGGGTGAGAAGGAGAAATTCTCCTCCCGCTGGCCCACATTTCTGCCAAGTTTTCAAGTGGGCAGCTGGGTAGATCATTAATAGTCTTTACAGAGTTCAAAACCTGGAAAGGAGAAAAGATTGTTTTTAAGTAGGAGGAGGATGGCAGGAAGAGTGCAGGATTTTTTGGAAGGGAGAGTATATGATAACGGAATTAAATGAGTTCCCTATTTGGTTATGCTGGATTTGAGCACTCAGATGGAGAAGTGCAGCTGGCAATTGAATATTTTGGTTTAAATATCAGGAAAGAGAGAAAGACTGGGGATGAAATTTTATAATGTTTCTGTATGGAAGCTGGTATATAAAAGGAGATTCAGGGCTTTTAAATCTTTTAGGCCTTTAGCTAACCACTTTTTTTTGTCTGTTTGATGAGTCATATGAGTCTATGAAATAGTTATTTAAAATATTTAAACTCTGAGGCACTTTTTAAACAAAGGTTTGACATAGGCATGATTTTTAACTGAGAAAAATATCTAGCCAAGTGTGATATAAAAGTTAAAACCACACCTCAAGAATAGGCATTTCATTTTTTTTTTTTACCCTGAGCAAAATATAATGATCTATTTTCAAATAATGTGTATGTGTGTGTGGACACGGATGGGGAGGGATTGGGTTTTATACGCACATTTTAAAGGCTCAAAGGGCTTATACACATCAAATGGTTCTTCAAAAACAACAACGTGGTGATTGAAGTGTAAATGAATCATGAAATATATGGATTAAATATGCCTGGATTTATTACACATAATTAAAAATTTAAGACTTGCTTTGGGCAAAATATGACTGAGGTTTTCTATTGAACCCCAAACACTCAGAAACATTGAAACATTGTAATACCAAATCTTTCCAAGTTTGTAAGGCCTAAAATTTCTATTGATCCTATTATATATTTTCCCTTAGAAACATATCAATGCTTATTTTAAGAGGTCTAAAATACAATGTCTAGGAAGAAATAATGTTTCCTTGAAAATTCAAATACAAGTGGGTCCTTTTAGAAATAAAATATTGAAATTAGAAAATTATTTGAGTAGAATTGGATCTGATTGACAGAATTTGGGTATAGAATGAACCATACGTCTTGTAACAATGGACTACATCTAATCAGCTGAAGAAAAGCAAAGCTCAGGATCAAAACTCTATCACTTAACAGCCACACATGTGAGAAACAAAACACAATTTAGGGGTTTTCGTTGATTATGAAGTCGATACACATCTGCAATGTGATGGTGCTGCCATTGAAAAGCTATTTCTACCTTGGACTAAATAAAGAATTAAAGTTTCTGGACACTGCTCCAGCCAGTCAAAGCTTTAGCCAGTCAAAGTTTAGCATTGCGTCCATCACACACTCAATGACTTTTTCCAGGGCAATTGATCTCTATCATGAATAGGTTCCAAATAACTCCTCATGTAGGAAACTATGAGCAAGCCCAGGAAAATAGCCAGTGCTAGAAGGAGATGAAAATTACCTAAAAATAACTGGAGGAAAACAACCTCTAAGAGAGGGCCAAATTCTGATTCATAACAAAGAACTTTCTGGCTGGGCACAGTGGCTCACACCTGTCATCCCAGCACTTTCAGAGGCCAAGGCTGGAGGATCACTTGAACTCAGGAGTTCAAGACCAGCCTGGGCAACATGGCAAAATCCCATCTCTACTAAAAATGCAAAAATTAGCCAGGCACAGTGGCGCATGCCTGTAATCACAGCTACTCGGGAGGCTGAGGCAGGAGAAGCACTTGAACCGGGGAGGCGGAGGTTGCATGAGCCGAGATCACATCACTGCACTCCAACCTGGGCAAGAGTGTGAGACTGTAAAAAAAATAAATAAATAAAAAGAACTTTCCATTGGTTGGAGTTACCAAAATGGGAATGACACTATTGCCTACTACTCAAGGAATAATAATTCCCCCTAATCAGAGGTCTTCGGGTAAATAATTTGGGTTGTTGTAAATACAATTTGTTATCACGTGCAAATAAGTATTTAATAGTTATCTGCACATTAGTGCACATGAATCATATGCTTGATGCTGTTTCCAAGGCAATCTTAGCTTCCTCAAATGAACTTTTCCTTTCCTTACCATGTAAACATTTTTCACAAGTTGTAATAAATTTGGGGCTCTCGTCAGAGAAACCAGTAGGATATGTGACCAAAGGCATTTCAGGATATTGTTTGCAAAGTTCTGTTAAATTGGCTCAATAATCAACTTGTGCCCTTTTTTTTTTTTTTTAAATTTCTCCATTACATCTACAATCCCACTGGTAAGCTACAAAACCTATCTTTCTTTAGTTTTGAATCATATTTTAAATCACCAATAGATTTACACTCAGCGCCTAGATGTCAGAACTATAGGTTGTCACAGTACTTTGAGCTTACATCGCTTATGAAAGAGAAGAGGGTGTGTGGCTAATAGATTATTTGATACAGACATTACTCACAATGTATTCCATCCTAAACCCTGAACCATTTGCCATTTTGTTGCAAATCCCCTTTGCTGAGATTTTGGTAAAAGGAGTTCCTTTTCCCGAACCATATTCACATATTTTTACATATAACTTCATCCCATATAACTCTGGTCAAGTGCTTGAAACAAACCAGAAAGCCGGCGGTGGATTATATGTTATATGCTCCAGGCCGTCGTCAGAAGGGTGATAAAAGAAAATGAACGGGCCGGGCGCGGTGGCTCACGCCTGTAATCTCAGCACTTTGGGAGGCTAAGGCAGGCAATCACGAGGTCAGGAGATCGAGACCATCCCGGCTAACACGGTGAAACCTCGTCTCTATTAAAAATACAAAAAAATTAGTCGGGCGTGGTGGCGGGCGCCTGTAGTCCCAGCTACTCGGGAGGCTGAGGCAGGAGAATGGTGTGAACCCGGGAGCCGGAGCTTGCAGTGAGCCGAGATCGCGCCACTGCACTCCAGCCTGGGCGACAGAGCGAGACTCTGTCAAAAAGAAAGAAAAAAGAAAAGAAAAGAAAAGAAAAGAAAAGAGGAAAATGAACATTTATTGAGAGCCTGTCCTATGTGTTAGGTACTTTAGGTCATTTGATACAGGTGGTAATAATATTGAGATACAGGAATTATCGTCACTTTTTTTTTTTTTTTTTTTTTTTTTTGAGATGGAGTCTCACTCTGTCCCCCAGGCTGGAGTGCAGTGGTGTGATCTCAGCTCACTTTGCAAGCTCTGCCTCCAGGGTTCACACCATTCTCCTGCCTCAGCCTCCCGAGTAGCTGGGACCACAGGTGCCTGCCACCACACCTGGTTAATTTTTTGTATTTTTAGTAGAGACTGGGTTTCACCATGTTAGCCAGGATGGTCTCGATCTCCTGACCTCGTGATCCACCCGCCTCGGCCTCCCAAAGTGCTGGGATTACAGGTGTGAGCCACCGTGCCCGGCCATGATCACCATTTTACAGATGAAGAAACAAATATTAAGAGAAGTTAAGTAGATAGTACAGGGTTCCAGTGGGGAGCTTCATGTATGTTCCATTTGTCACACTAAAAAAGTAAAAAAAGTCTGCTCTGGATCCTTTGTTAAGAGATATTTAATGTATCACTTCCTTTATCTATAGTAATTTGTTTTACAATTTATTAAGTAAAAGTGAATAAGTATTTACCCAGTTCAAGGTGCACTTAGAAGATGTAGCATAATTCTTTGCCTAGACTAGGTGTCCTAAAATTATTTAAGAATTTGTGAGTAAATGAACATATTAATAATAACACATCTCACACATATATTTAAATGACTTAGCAAGAATACTTGAATTCTACAGTTGCATGGACAAAAATTGTTGATGAAATTTCTAACTATAAGACCCCTAATAATTATATAATAAGTTGAATGGCAATTATTCCACTAGAATGTGGTGTGAAAACCTGAAATCAAGTGTGTGTGTGTGTGTGTGTGTGTGTGTGTGTGTGTGTGTGTGGAGGCTGGGCATTTCGTTTTGTTTTGTTTTCTTACCTTACTAATCGCCAGTATATAGTCCCAATTACAAAGTGTTGCTTTAAATTCCAATTATTGCTTTTTTTTTTTTTTTGACAGAGTCTCACTCTGTCGCCCAGGCTGCAGTGCAGTGGCGCGATCTCGGCTCACTGCAAGCTCCGCCTCCCGGGTTCATGCCAGTCTCCTGTCTCAGCCTCCGGAGTAGCTGAGACCACAGGCTCCCGCCACCACACCCAGCTAATTTTTGTATTTTTAGTAGAGACTGGGTTTCACCATGTTAGCCAGGATGGTCTCAATCTCCTGACCTCGTGATCCCCCTGCCTCGGCCTCCCAAAGTGCTGGGATTACAGGCGTAAGCCACTGCACCCCACCCAATTATTGCTTTTTTAATAAAAAACTGATTTATATTTTAAATTAATATTCATATACAAATGGGTATTTTGGGGGAGACTGGGGACAGCAAATATCTTCAGAAGACCTCCAAGAAATACTTTTCTTAGTGGAACAAATACCTAAGGAATGAATGATGAGTATAGGCCACTGTGGTACACTTGCATCTGATAAAGTGGTCTCCCTGCCTCACCTTGGCCTCTTCCTCTCTCCCTCCCATCCTTCTCCTCTTCCTTCTTTTTTTAAGGATGCAAAAATTTTTTTAAATAATAATTTTAATGTTTTATTTTAAACATGTGGCAAAGCATGTCATTTCTAACCACCTAAATGTTTCAAAGGAGCGCCAAGAAAGGATGACTACAACGCAAAAAGAAACCCAAAGTAGCGGAAAGTGAGGAGGAGAGAGGCTTCAGTAAACAAGAAAGTGAAAAACTGTTCTAGAATCAACCTCTACACAAATTACAGTGCATTATGCTCAGTTCTCACAAACATGTTTTCTTCTGCAAAAATTTAACACTGAAGCCTTTTCTAGCTAAGTCACATCTTGCTTTTTGACACATACGTGTCTATCATTTACTTATTTAGCCTTATATCTCATACAAGAGAGAGAAACCTCAGTATCTCTAGGTTTTATACAATGAATACAAGTTTTATGTAATCATTGATCTTGCACGTTCTTCATTCCCCACATACGTTCATTCCCCACATACCCCACATTTGTGCTCAAATGAAATATATAATTTTATTGTCCAATAATTCATGAAAGCACATAAAAAGAAAGTGCGAAAAAAATAAGAGGCTACATATTGCATAACATCATGGATAACTTTGAAGGCAGTTAAAGCATTTTAATAGTTTCATTTGACTTCAAAATAAATGTGTGCAAAAGTTAGTGACAATGCTATGAACTTAGTTTAAGTAGCAGCTAAACTGTAGCTATTAATATACTGTACAGTAGTTGCTGCCAGTTAGAATAGAATGTTCCAGGCCAAATATTAATAGATGCATTTATTCCCACTGAGCAAGCTAAAAAACTAATAAAGTATTAGTTTGTTAATAAAGTAATAGTAAAACTAATAAGTATTGCCCACAGATTACTCTTGCTAATTCAGGTTTATGAAAACATGAATTTGTATTCCACAAGAATATATTCACATGTGGTTACATTGCTTACCTAATTTGATTCAATCTAATGAATATTTCCATGAAGGATTTATCCCTTATTCTCTATTTTTCCATATAGCATCCATCCAGCTATGTATTCACCTACCTATCCATTTTATTTTTTACACCTAAACTCATTTGATATATTTCAAGAAAGTAAAATTAAACTGATATGGCAGTTATTTGTTGGCAAAATAAAGATAGATTAGTAAAGTCACATTTTCCCAGAAATGTAGTTACTACAAGTAACTGTGTGTCATGATGTCCATACTATAGTTGAAGGTCATGGTCATTTACCAAAGTCATACATCTGGCAGGACAATATTATATCAGTTGCTCAATAGGAGTGACACTCTTACTCCTACACACCTCTAATAAAACTTTCCATCATGAGTTCTTACGATATTACTTGGTGATGTAATGACAATGTGGGCATTTCCACAAAATCTCGGTAACCGCTGACATTTATACAGCTGTTGAAAATGCATAGAGGATATAAAATACAAAATAAAACGAAATATTTTTACATGCTGTGCTCTGGGCATTACTAAATTAAACCTATGATTTCCACAAGTTCCTTTTATATGGCAGTGTCCTATCTAGAAGAAAATTTAGACATTACATAGAACACACAAGTATCCTGCATTTCAGTTTTTTAATATGAAGCAAGTTCTATTACATGAAAAATATGACAGTCCTTGACATTTCTTGTTGTAAAAAGCCAGTTGGTCAAGGAAGTCCTGTTCACCTGGAGAAAACTTAGAGCATCCCATTTCACATGTGTGCACTGAGCCCAGCCACCGAGACCTCACTCGCGTTCCTCCGATGCTGTTCAGCATCTTCCCTCACCACTTAAGTGACGGAGCTTTCTCTCATCTGGGCTGCTCACATACCTGAGGGGTGGGGGTGATAGCAAACACCTAGGGAGGAGCCTCTTAAACTTGATTCTCCCTCCACTTTGTCTCTAATGCATGGCCTTCTTCACGAAACCTTTAAATCTATCATTAAAACTAAGGATGAAGAAACAAAATGGCTCAGAGAATGCAGCAGGTAATGTAAATTCACATAGAGAAGCAAATAGTCATTGATAGCAGGTAGCTTTTTCTTACAGGCAGCAAGTTAAACAGGTAACAGTAAAACACTTAGGGCCAAAGACACGAGCTCAAATCTCTCTCAAGCCATTTCATTCAGCCCCTTCTCCTGTCCAAAGTTCTACTTCCTCATCTCTAAAATAAGGATAGTAACACCAGGGGTTTTTAGAAGCTGAAGGAGATGAAAGTACTTCTAAACTCTAAAGGGCTAGCTGACTCTTATTTAATGTCTCAGCTTCTATTAACCAATATGAGAGAGTTCGCCAAGACAGCAGCATTCTGAAAAAGTGGTCAGAGTGGGCAGAGAGAATTCACTGGGGGATAAGCGTGGGGAACGGAACAAACAGGGAAACTTAGATTCCTTTCTAGATGGTTTCACTTTCTTCATGGTTTTCCTAAAGCACTTATGTTTTTGACCTGCTGCAAGAAGTTTCACATAACCATTAGCGAATGGAAACTTTTGTCAAATGTGGACACCAGAATGCAACGTATCCAGCTGCACCTTAACAGGCAGAAAACCTGAACAAGCCTGACCAGCAGCAGACACCAGCTTCCATGGCATAACTCACAAGTAACGAACACTCGATCATATATTGATCATATAGTCTATGCAAAAATTCACTCCATTCATTTATCATCATACTTCTAACTTGGAGGGTATGGAGCATGCAGTGCACTGTGTTTGGAGAATTGGGCTAAAATTTAACCCACTTTGGAAATTTTATTCAATCTGTACATATGCATGTGTGCATAAACACAACCAGTTAAAATGAAAAATAATTGAAATCAGCATTACATTGAACAGATTTGCTCCATAAATTCTGCTTATTACATGTAACTAACATAGACTCTTTGATCAAAGAGAGATCAATGTAATTCAGTGACTCACCTTTTATAAAGAGTGTAATGAAGCAATTTTCACTATCAGCATAACAACTTCTTTCATAAAACCTATTTCAATAATTTTAATCAAATATTTCTGAAAAATAAAGCATGTGCACCTTTCTTCTTGTGAATAGAATTAAATTGTTACCAACAGCCAAAGCAGCAAATATCTCTTTACTGTCTAGATATATGCAAAATTGAATAATCTAATAATTATTTCCATTTACTGAATTTATGAAAGAAGCTGAAAGAAAATGCAGTTTGTCGCTAAATAACAACTAAAATCTGAGATTCTTTTTACTATTTTTGCCTTTTAACAATGCCTTCTGAGAATTTAATTTTAATTATATTATTCCATTTAATTCAACCCAATCCATTCTAACAAAAAAATATTCAAATTTTGTTTAAGCACAGTGCCCAGAGTTCGAGCAGGGCCTGGATGATGTATCATAAGGGTACATCCTAGAAACAAAACATTTTAGTAACATGAAACATTAAAAGTGAAAAATGTGACTGCCTTAAGTGATGCATACATGTGGTTTAAAATAAGATTCCTTTTAATCTTGATGAGTTTTGAACATAAACACTTAACACCGTAAAGGACATAGGGGGTCAGTAGAAACTTTGGCCTAAGCCTTAGACTTGTTGGCAATGCTACAGTTTATTTAAAATCGGAAAGCATTCCCCACTAGTGAAAAAAGGAAAACAAAACAAAAATTATACTCAATATGATTACCCAGCACTAGAACAGTAAACTTAATAACCTAACTCTACTCCCTTTATTCAGAGAAAATAGATTTCTTAAAAGTCAAGCCCTACTAATATTAATCAGAACTGAGAGAACTATTATTGAATAATTATATTTAGGGAAATGTTTATTGAGCTCACTTGAAGTTCAACTTCATGGGAACAGACTTCTGTCTTGTTCTCTTCTGCTCCTTATTGTATAGAACAGTAACCAGCAAATAGTAAATACTAGATTGTTACTGAGTGAATCAGTGTGGCGGAATCAATATGCAGTCAAATATACAGAGGATGTTTTGGAGTCTTGAAAAATGTGTAGGTGAAAAAGCAGTAAATATTACATATATATAATGATCATAAATTATTTAGTGGTAAGAGAAAGAGTTAGAGGGAAATATCTCCAAAATATTAATAGTGAGTTGCTTAAGGGAAAAAAATACAGTGTTATTTCCCACTCCCACTCAATTATATCTTTACAGTTTCCAAATTTTCCTCGGTGGGTACAGATTATTTTCACAATAAAATAGTTTTTAACAACATCCTCTCACTTTCTAAAGTAACTATCAATGTGAATGGTTGTGGCTAATGACTGGAAAAAAAAGGGGCAGTTCAGAGAGGTGAGAATTTGGAAAAAGAAAATGGATCTTTCCTGTGTTTCATTGAAAACAAATGATTAAAATATGATTAATATAAAATAATAATTTTAACAGGCTCAGCTGTGCCTATTTGAGAGGCAGTAAACTGCAGTGGCTCAGAACTCGGGAACATAACTTGCTGGATACCAGCTTGGGTGAGCTGGGAAACCCATGAGCTCACTCTGTTTCAGTTGCTTAACCTGAAGTTACTTAAACCCAACTTCAGTTTTTGTTTTTTTTTTCTAAATCTGTGAGATTTTTTTTTCTAAATCTGTGAGATGGGGTAACATTAGCACTCATATCCTATTGTGAGGATTACCAAAGTTCATACTTGTTAAAGCATGTCAAACAGTGCCTGGCACATGTTAAATGCTGTTAATGTAAGCTCTTATTATTAACCATTGTTCACCTTATATGAGGGACTGCAGTGAAACAAACACAACCATATTCAGCTTCATTCTGGACCTTTAACTCTGCCAAAACCCCTTCCTGTCTAGAGCAATACTTCCCTTTCCCCTTTTCTTGTTTTTCTCAGTGCTGTGTCGGGTCTGTGACATCAAATATTATCTTGCGTGTATGGCCACCAAGCCTGTATTCATATATATATATATATATATATATATATAGAGAGAGAGAGAGAGAGAGAGAGAGAGAGAGAGAGAGAGACACAGAGATGTATATATGTCACTTACCCCACATACTCTGAAGCTATCTGCACATGCAAGTAGCCACAAAGTTGTAGTGAGACTTTTCAATTATTTGCCATATATAGATTTTGCTGTATGTAGGAATACTCTACGCAATCACCCAGATAAGCTTCTCAGTTATTCTTGGCATCCTATTTTAAGATACAGAAAGAATGGGCAATTGACTGAGCATAAATTAATTCCCTTATTTTTTGAAAGGTATATATCTTGTCTAACCAACAGTAGTCTTTTAGGGGGCCGGAAGTGGTCCTGAAACAGGGGGCACTCCTAAACATCTCCAAAACTTAAACCAACATCAAACCCATTGAAATCTCATATCCTGTGAAGTTTCCCAGGTTAAGACAATTAAATACTATAGCTGTTTACTACTACCAGAAAGAGGGACCAAGTGTTAGTTCCCAAGTCCTCACTAAATCTTTTATAGATTCTTACACTAAAAAAGCACACAATGTTCTTTAGATTAACACACCAAATTCTTAGCAGGAAGTTAGAGTATTCCCAGTAAATCCCAAGCAGGGCCAGGGGGAGCACAGGCATTCATGTGTGTTTGACCTAAGGCTCTTTCTCTAGTGAAAATTATTTCTCTTTCACCAGTAAGAAGAACCTACATGAACAAGTGCTGAAGGAAAGAGATACCTGCCCATCTCAGTCAAATGACCTAGTCTCAGTTATCAATGCAAATGGTGGATATCACCACCATTTTTTTTCCAACATCCAGGGCAGAGAAAGAATCTGTGTTTAGCTTCAGTGAATTTAGGGTTGACACTAATGCTTCAATAAGGACAAAGATAACAAAAAGTTGAGTGGCTAAATATGTGGCTCTTTAATGCAGACCAATGATTATTCCAGGAATCTTCCTCTCTCTCCAATTTCCAGGATTGAGAAACAGACTAAAATACTTAGAAAGCAAACCCAGATCATCTGAGTAAGACATTATGCTTCAAGAATGGAAGATAACCTACCAGCTTTACCATAATCTCAGGTTTCTAGAAACATATGTAATACTACAAAACAAAAGCAAAGCTCACCTTAGGTTGAAGAAGGACATAAACAAAATATAGTGATGCATTCCCTGGGTTTTGGGGAAAATCTATCCGGATGAAGCTTGGTGATGCTGATGGCAGACTATTTAGTAAACTAACAAATTTTGTGAGACTCTATCTTGTAACTTTTTTTTTTTTTTTTTTTTTTTTTTTGAGGCAGAGTCTTGCTCCGTGTCCTAGGCTAGAGCGCAACAGCGCAATCTCGGCTAACTGCAACCTCTGCCTCCCGGGTTCAAGGATTCTCCTGCCTTAGCCTCCCAAGTAGCTGGGATTACAGGCGCCTGCCACTGCACCCAGCTAATTTTTGTATTTTTTAGTAGAGACGGGGTTTTGCCACGTAGGCCAGGCTGGTCCCAAACTCCTGACCTCAGATGATCCACTCGCCTCGGCCTCCCAAAGCTATGGGATTACAGGCGTGAGCCACCGCACCCAGTCAACTTTTTTCTTTCTGTCTTGAACGCTGTTCATGCTTTAAGACTTCCTGATGATTACTAAAGTGGCCTATGTTCCTTCATACGGTTGACTGTATGTTGAATACACCATTGAAAGAATGGCTGAGAAAAAAAAATCGAGTGAGTCAATAAGAAAAAATGTGAACTCCAAGATTATTCACTTTCTGGAGAATCCTTCTGTATCTCTTATTCTACTTCCTCAAGTAATATTAGCATATTTTTTGAACCAAGCAAGCAGGAATAAAACCTGTCGCTTCAAGTTTTCTGTTGCACAATTTATTTTGAAGGATGTCATTCTCTGATGTTATATCTAAATTTTGGAAAGAAATATTAAGAATGTGGATGTTCAAGAATCAGAATTTGAAAAAACAAAACAAGTCTTGTTTCCTTTTTAAAGTAATCTACTGCAGTTTTTTGTGTGTAATGGTATTGCTTTTGGAAGTATAATTCTTTTCATTTTAGACTGAAACAGTATTGTTTTGTACAAAATCAGAAAGCATATTCATTTTATTCTTTCATTATGCCTTGATGTACATATGAACATCTATCTAGCTGTCAGGTTTTTTTTTTTTAAGTCTGTTCTGTGCCCTGAAAGGGAAGTTAAAAAAAAAAAAAAAAGTTGTGGCATTTCACCACTCAACCTTCAAAGTGAGAGGTGAAAGACACACACACACACACACACACACACACAGTTTGCAGAGCAATCTCAACTGTGTTTCCACTTCCTGCTGTGCAGCAGTACCACCAAGAACCTTTGCCTTGGTTCTCAGCTTTATTTATTTTGCTTTAAATGATATATACAGGCTGGCTATTCAAAAACGGTTCCCCATCCCCCACCTTTGAAATCAGTGCTGTGTTGATATTGAAATTGAGGTACATCTCATCTTGGCAGTGCCTTGGTTAGTTTACCACTTAGAATCAACTCATCTTGTTCTACGCTTTTGCCAAGGGCAGTATCACACAACAGGTAGAAAATTAATAAATGTATATTGATAACTATACTTATCAGAATGCCTCTAGTGAATATTTAGAAAGCTTACTAGGCCTAAATCCAGGAGCTAAAAGGTGAAAATTGTATTTACTTTCAACATATGGACGGTTACTGTCCCAACAATGACAGTTTGTAGCTTAAAAAAATAGCGCCAAAATTCTAGGGTTATATTTTTCTAAAGTAAAGTCTTCAAGAAGTTTTAACATTTTATTAATTGAATTACCAGCAAGATGAAAGCATAGGAACCTTCCTTTCATCTGATATTCTAGGAATCTTTGAAATGTTTGTATTTTTGCTCAGTTTAATATTGTTTGAATAAATCTATGAATATTTTTATTAAAATAAAGATTAGCTCTGCAGAACAAATTCAGTGCAAAGTACTTCAAAACTTAAAAGATAATAGGGTAATTTTTATTTACAAGTAGCATGGTATATTGTGGGAAGGCGGATATGGCAAGCCCACACCGTTATAATTCCAAGTATGCCATTAAAATAGCCACAGGAGAGGTAGGATCAACATGTTCTGAATTGTCAAATGAATGAGAAATCCTGAGCCATAAGTGAAGTTTTCTCATTAGGTTATAGTATGTTTATAGATTTCAAGACTGTGATTTTATAGTAGCTATGAAAATATTTTCAGATAAATGAAATATATTAAAATAAGCTTAAACTCAAATAACTGAATTATGAATTATTATGGAAGGTATCTAGAGCATTCTTTTTTGTTGATTTTCTTTATTTTATTTTATTTTTTGAGACAGCTTTCTATTCTGTCACCCAGGCTGGAGTGCAGTGGCACAATCTCAGCTCACTGCAGCCTCCACCTGTTGGGCTAAATCCATCTTCCCACTTCAGCCTCCTGAGTAGCTGGGACCACAGGCACGCATCACCACTCCCGGCTAATTTTGTTTTTCATAGCACATTACATTACCGATTTCCCAGTTTATAAGTAACCAAGATGCTCAAACAAGCAAATATTTTCCTTGAGTATGACTTACTACAAAAAAGAGAAAGAACAGAGAAATTAGTTCTGAAAGTGCATTTTTCTAAAGCCCATTTCAGTATTTGATAGCTCAGATCATATAGAAGTTTTAGTCAAAATGCTAAAGAATATTTTATTAATATTCTTCTATTCCATCCTTTCCTTCAGTATTTCATAAATTATTTAGTTAAATGGTATTTTTTACCATGTTTCCTGAAATGTCATTGATTTTAATCCACCTGAGAAGTCATTACCTCTATCTGTATTGAGAAATAAATTTGTCTTTAAGGTTTAATAGTAGTCTTTATTATTTAATTTCCCTTTAACTACTATATTTTGATGCACTTTATAGTGTATTTTTTTTTGTGAAAGAAGTAGATTCCGGCAATTGATTTCCATTTGCAACCTACCTCCCTTATTAAACGGAAGTCAGTCATTTTAAGAGAACATATTTGCTTTGGATTCAAACAATTTAAGGGCCGGGAAGTGGGTTGGGGGTTATATTTAAAGGTATCAGCTAGTCCAGATGGCCATCTAGCTTTTAAAACTGCCGCCAAGCAACTTAAATATGTTTTATTCTTCAAAGATTTGGAAGCAATACAAGAAATATTCTACTAATGTTCTGAAAGAATAAAGGAAGGAAGAGGAAGGAAGGGAGAAAGGGAAGAAGGGAGGGAGGGAATACTTAAAAACAAAATAAGTAGTATGTCTATATTTTTCTTCCAAACATTTGCCCCATATTTTAAAAAATTTTAGTCATCATCACATACATGATCTTAAAAAGTCACTAGATATTTTTGGGAGTTAGTTGGTTCACCTCTAAACACAGGAATTTCAGTTGGTCTCTATAATTTCTTCATAGCATAGAAAACTGCTCTGCATGATTTTATACCAAGGAATGCTATGTTGTCTGCCAAGCATGAAACTTCGGAACTAAAGGAATTCATGAGTGTCTGGGGAACAACATGTTCTGAGCTACATGATTCTGAATCACTTAGAGTTTGGTAGTAAGTGTTTTATGCTATATTCAGATATCTGTAAAATTAGTGATACATATAGAATATGTCAAAATATTTAGCAAATAAATATGTCTCATGTGCTAAGAATTTTACTCTTTTGGTAAAAGCATATTTTATAAAATTCCACTTAATGCAGATCCTGCAAATGAAAAGAAAAATTAACAAAGCAGTCCTATTGTGATTACTGTGATTCCTGATTTTAACTTACGTTGAAATTGATGGTCACATACAGATAATAGTCTAAAAACTCAACCACATACTCATATGTTTCCAAAGATTCAGGAATTGGGCATTATGTGGATAGAATGTGTAAGGCTTACTAATCTAAGACTTTTCCAACAGTATTCCAAATATGACAGCAGTCACCCAGTTGGGCTCCTCCAATAAACTTATTTATTCTCACCAAGTCTCTCTTTCATGGCCTTAATAATCATTTCCATTGGAATTTCAATAGTATTAAATAAATTATGAATCACACAGGAATAACTCCAACCTTTGTAGCAAGAATACGAGCTTAAATATATTATGTATTTTCTAGCTTATTATCCCCCTGGAATTTTTGACAGAGATGCCTGTACAGGAAAATCCACTAGCTTCCTAAAATGTGAACAAACTCTTAAAAACTTACTGAGGTATAGATTTAGATCATTTAATTACATTTTCAGTCATAGAGGCTTATTAGAAGTAGGTTATTAGATTCTGCTTCAATGCTCTATCTTTAAAATGCTTATTTTCCCAATTTCCATTGTTCTTATGTTTTCCTCAGACTTCCACTGTTAGTATTCTAATGCATCTTCACAATTATATCTTTCTCTATTAAAGCAGGACTTCTGGAGGTTTTCTCTGGAGTGGTGGTTTTTACCCCCAAGGCTAGTAATTTACTAGTTGACTTATGTAGGGTCAAGCCAATAGAGGAATCTCACTTTATTCTACATAAATATACGCATGAAACACCTAAAAGAGATGTAACAGACTTTATATACTTGACACACCCTATTGGAAATGTCACTTTTAGATTCAAAATTACTAAACCTGCCTTCTCTTACCTTATCTTCCTGTTTTTATCTCTCAAAAGGACAACATGTGAATCTGTTTTCTCTAAATATAAAATAAAATAATTTATATCCCATATAAGTATAATTATATTTGACTATACTTACACAGTTATATCTCTATAAGCAAAACTAATTTATCATTTATAATTTTATCATAGCCATCTCTCTTTTAGTTGACAACTTTTGTTTTGACATGAACCACAGAGCTTGGACATCAAGTTTTTAGATATTTTCACTCATGGGCTCCATGTTTTTCTAACACTGCTATTTTAAACTTCTTTTTCAGAGTTAACTTTTTGATTCCTCCCTTTAGGTAAATAAATATTATTTTAAACTTTCAGCCATTTTTATGTATCTATAAGTGTAAAATAAATGTAGAAAGAAGCACAAAAAAATGTCTTTTTCTTCCTCCTTTGTGCAACTCAAAATGGCTGAATTGATTTACCTCCAAATATCTACATAGAGTTTAACCCTGAACAGACTTGAAACACACACAAGGTTTTCAGAAACTTCTAAGTGACCAGGGACATAGAGGAATAACAAAAGTCATCTTGAAACCTTAAATACACTGGTTTTTGCCACAGACATTGTAATTTACTAGCTGGGGATGGAAACCTCTGAAACAGCCATTTGTCTTTTAGTTAAAATGTAGCCTCATAAATACATGCATCTGTCCTGTGTATCTTTTTTTAAAAAAAAATCCCAAGAAGTATCATTTGTAAAATAGGTTTCATGATATGTATTACCATTCACCAAAGTATTTAAACGTTCTTTCTTTAGAAAGTAGAATCTTGCAGATTAGAATAACTGTGTTGAAAGGATAAGAAATACTCCTTCACAACTGAGGAGACATCCTGTTTCATCCTTGGGTTTTATATGATTTAATAGAGGTAATGCTGTCATGCAGATAGTACCTTTTAAATAACCTCATTTAAGACCTTGATGGGCCTTACGTAGTCATTTTCAGGGGGAATCAGTACTACATCCAATTCAGTCATATGTATTTTAAATATGGAATTCTTTTAGCTAAATATTCAAGGTTTGTGTTTGGCCAGAGACAATTTAAGTTAAATTTAGGAAATATCTTTGAAGAGTTTAATTTTCTCTTTCTCACCTTTAGTTATGTATTAATCACTAACCCTTGAATTGCTGGTGCGTTTAAGGAAGAATGTTACAGATGTGGGCCCAATGCAAGTGAAACTATTGCTACTCATAGCCTTAAAGACTGTCTTAATATGTACTTGTTTGAACTGCTTCCTCTCTACTGGACCAGTTTTTCCATCCTTTTCTGTTATCAGCTGAAGAAAGATCTATTTTTGAAATTTGTTCCCATAACTAAAATGTGGTGGATTAACTTTGGCCATGAAGCTAAGTATTGTGAAGACGGAGATGTAAAAGTCAACACTATTAAAATCAACCACTCTCTGGGGACCTATTCTCCTTTTGATAGACTCAGAGTGTTCATTAGTTCTTTTGAATTTCTATGGGAGATCTGTGGGCAGAACCAAACCAGGAAATAGTTGCCTCCTAACTTTGAAAATACCAGGGGACCACATCGACACTTTCCACTATGTCATTCTGCTGACCCTTGAGCTCTGCTTTTATCTTCCTTAAATGAATCATTCCACTGTGGTTTTAATTAAGAAAAATCATGTTGTGGGGAGTGAAATGATCTGGGAAGGATCAAGCCAAAATTTATACCTAACTGGCTATCTTACAAACACAATGGATTTTTTTCCTGCATAATTCATTCCTTAAATTTTAAAAAATACCCTTAAGGAGAGGGGGGAAACATCATTTTTACAAAAATATTTTAATTAAAATCTTAAAGTGTTCATTTATTAATTTTATCAGAGGTATATAATTAAGCAACTCACTGTAGGTAATTAACACTCTGGATTGTCTAACACTGTCTAAAGTCCCCTAATCATTTAAAAAAATAGTTTCGCTTCTTTTGAAGCTCCTGTTTTTGTTTCCTGGGTGCTGTGATGAAAACCAAACAGAGCTGATATTTTCTTAGAATAATAAGCAACTTAAAATTTAAAGTTGTTTTGTAACTGTAATGTCTTACCTGACTGTGATAGTCTAAAGCGATGGTTCTAGAAACTGAATTTGTGACTCTTAGAATTGTGCAGACTATTTTAAAGGCATGACAATATGTTGGAAAAAATGGTTATTTCCAGGGAGTTTCTTCAGATAAAAAAATGGTTTAAATATAGTAATAAGTGTAATAGAGGAATTTAGTAAAACTAACACTTTTTAACAGTTTAATAGTAAGAACTGAGTGAGCCCAAGAAACTGAACTGGAGTTGAAAACAAACTTGTTCAACAATAGAGAAGAAAGGAAAATGGAAGCAACAGAGAATGGAGCTGTCTTCATTGCATGATTAGAGTTAAATGCAAATATGTGATGTTTGGTTTAAATGAATTTAATTGATCCTATAAAATAGTCCAGACTTTAGATGCTACATCTTCTACTATTTCTGTAATAAGCCAGATATTGTTAAATGAACTTATGTCAATGTAACTGACTAATAGAAGCTAAGTTTATTTTGGGAGGACTAATATATTCAAGGAAATTTTTCATTATGTAAGCAAGTGATTTGAAGAGACTTAAAATGGCTTTCATGTTTATGTTTTATAAGTTAATATCAGCTCCTGAAAATACAAACCACAACTACATTTAACACCATGTATGTAAGCCTACTTTTTCTAAAAAGAAAAAAAAAATCTACCTGAAGTAAGTGGAAATTTACCTCTGGTGCACAATTCAGAATGGAATATTTTAAGGACATGATAATAATGTAGTTTTTATTTTTTTAACCAAACCATGAAAAATAAAGTCCTATTTTATAACTAGGCAGACTGAAACAATTTAAGATGCTTATTATTGGCTCATTAATTATTTATTTAATTCTATCTTTTGATCAGATATTCTCTACAAAGTACAATGGTAAGATGCTTGGGATGCAATGTAGAGAAAATTAAAATTGTGGGTGGGTAGGCAAATAGTGTAATATAATTCAGTGACATTTACGTTCATGAGTCCAGTTGGCAAAAGGCATCGTATTTTTCACTAAGTGTAGGAAGAATCATAGAGAGATTCTTAGAGATCACTGATTCCATTTACAGTGGCCATGTAAATTCCTTAAATTCAAATGCAGCCCTTTTAAGGCCCACAGGGACAAGACGTTGAGAGAAGAGAAACAGCCCTATCAGCCTCGAAGTGAACAGGAGAGTGCTCCCTGGCACAAGGTAGTGTCTGAACCTGGCCAGAGGAAAACTCAGCCCAGAAATGTGTACAGCGGGAAGGGGAGCACTGTGGGAGCGGCTCCTGGGGATGAGGTCTGCAGTGCATCTAAAGAGAGTGTTAAAAGTAGAGGGGAGAGTGTGCACTTGGTTGGAGAGCTGGGGTTAGTCTCAGACACTTACCAATTATTTGTTATTTGGCAAATGATGTAACCGAGACTCTGTCTTCTCATTTATATGATGAGGACTACAATCTCATGTTGGTTAAGAAAATCAAACGTGCACAAAGCTAGATGATGCCCCAAATGGACTGGACAGGTCCCACAAATAGGGTTTTAGATTTGATGAATCTCTCTTTACTAATTATTCACACACTTAAATACTAAAAACATTTTATGTTGATAGAATCTCCATGGAAAATTCATCTCTGGACACATCTTCAGGCCCTGGGGAGCTTTCAAGGGAACATTTAACTTTTCAAGTAGGCAAGGAGGATGATACAAAAGAAGTTTAATTCCTTTGAAAAATCTATGGGTAACGGATATTATTTGAATTACAATGAATGATCAAGAAATATTTCCTTCTGTCTATGTTTGTTTCTCCCCATTTTCATAGCATCTAAAATATTTGGTTAATACCATTTAAAAATATCTAATTTACCACAGAGGGTAAAAATCAACATATTGTATATCCTGGAGTATCTTTACCGTAATTTCCAGTATAAAGTAAAAGGTTAGCCAAGTACTAAGCCATTTGCTATAAAATTTTTAAAGTCCTCTACAACTGAAAAAATTGTTTCCATTTCCTTATGGAAAAAGAGCTTCAGAATGATCAGAATGACTTCTCCATGGAAATTAATATACAATAAAATCTATTTTTTCTCCTTTAAATGAAATTGCTTCCTAGTTTCCAATGGCTAGCTCCACAAAAAAATTACTTGCTCCAGTATAAAAATGAATATTATTGGGTAGCATCTGGAATTCTAGCAATTGAATTCAAGTATACCTCATCCTTAAGGTCTCAAGCTACATTGGATTATTATAAATAACACACTAGTAAAATATCCTGATGTTGGTTTTTTGATTGTGTTTTTGTTCTTTGAAAACATTGAATTAGCCAAAATTGACTTTTCAATTTCGAAAGAAAAAGTGCTTAGAAAGTACTTTTTGTCCTCTTTTTTTTCCATTTTTTTTCTTTGTTTCTGGGAATCTAAACCAAACAAATCATGATAATTTCAGAAGAGATTAACTTGATTTTTTTCCTTCATCGGCAGCAGACTCTGACTTACCCACCTTTCCCACTATTTCTTTGAGTAAGGATTTGAACAATTTAAGCCTTCACATTTGGAATTTTATCTCTTTTAATCTTTGTAAATATTATGAGTAAAAATCAGGAAATGCCTCACTGGTACCCTTGGTTTCTCAGACAACTCACTGATTTATGGTCTTGAGACCATAAACTCATTTTCCTTATATGAATGACATTTCCACATCCACAACAATACCACCAAATATATGTATCTAGTTCTTACTAACTGCAAATCCTCAAAGTGAACTGCATGCATTTTAATGTTGCGTAGTTTGCTGATTTATGATTTCCCTTAATGTACATAGTTCACATTTTTTGGAAGAATTCCACAAAAGAAGAAGAAAAGGAAATCTAATCTAAAAATACTATTTTGGAGGGGATAGCAGATTGAAAATGAGAATTTTGAAAGTTTCAATACCAGTGGGGAAAGCATTTGCTAGAGTTTAGAAGGACAGCATATGGTACTTACAGGGGACCGCCAGGGGCCTCGAGAATCGGTATCCTGAGTCCTCTTGAAGAGCAGTAGAGGTTGTTTCATTAAGTGCAAACACATTGTTCTTAATTTGAAAACTGTGGGCAGAAACAGAAGCCCGAGACTAATTTTTCCATTGCTAACTCTAGATTCTCGGCCACTGGAGTCTGAAGATACTCTCTTTGAGAATGCATATTATTTTGCTCACAGCTAAAACATTTAAGTATCATAGCTGATCAGTGGAGTGAGATTAAAAGGTTTCTTTTTTGAATCATCAGCTAGAGATGTACAAGGGAGACAGCATGCAGGGTGTGTTCAGAAGAGCTTGCTGAGGTGCTCGGCTCTTAGCATTAAAAATGTGATGTTGGTATATCATCCTGATAGAAAACACTGCTTTCCAAATCCTAGTCACTGGATGGGAGGAAAGTAAGAACAGATTCTGCCAACCACTACTGATTTGTTATAATTCTCCCCATTGAAATTGGGACAAAATTTGTAACATGCTACTCTGAAATTGATCACATTCTCAATTCTGTCAATAGCAGAGAATTTAGCCTCAACACCACCAATTCAAAATAGTTTAGGTCTTGCCCCTGCCTGATTATGTAACAGAAAAGCATAAAGTTTGCAGGGTGGAGCGGGAGGATTTTTCTAGGAAACTTCCTTCTCTTCCATTAACGTGTGAATGAGTAAGGACAGTTAATCTCCGCTTCTGATATAAATATTAGGGGTAGAGGCTGAGTAGAAGACCCTCTTTTTGTTTTCAGTAGCTCATTCTCATTCACCAATGATAAGGGAGACTTGGCTCTCAACTATAAGTGTACACATGTACATCTTTAGAGAGTAGAGATACATCTGCATATAAAAAAAAAATCTGCCGTAAGTGATAGAGTTGAAAATAATGTCCTACATACCAGAATGTTCTTCTGAATTAGGCATCATGTAGGTATTCAGCATTCTTTCCATTTCCAAATTGCTCCCACTCCCTGTTTTTTCATCATCCCCTTTTTCCTCATTAGCTCATTGGAAATAAAGATTTTTATTTTATTTCATTTTTTTTTTCTGCAGAGAAGCACATATGTATGAGATTTAGGCAATGATTTCTCAAGGAAAAAATGTTTTAAAAGTACAGCATGGCTGGTGGTTTCAAAAAACGTAGTCATTCTTCTCACTGCAACAATGTAAGATAAGCAGGGTAGATCTGTTATTTCCAAATTAAAGGTGATTAAGATATATGGAGAGAGAACATGGCATGTGAGGTTTATAGGGCTAGAAACTGCAGAACCATGTAGAACCCACATTTAACTACAGTACAGCAATGGCACACTCTATCCTAATAATGACATCCTGTATAATTTAGTATGCTCTGTATCTCACTTTAAATGTAGCATTAAGGATGAAGCAGTAGAAAATGAACGCCGGGCCTTTTAATAATGAGGCTCAGGTTTGCTATCTTAATTTCAGGAATTAGGAATGGGAGGGATGCTAAGGAGACTGTTTAAATTTTTAAAAAGTTCTCTCTATGCCTGATACAGATGCAAATTGCTTGCTCATTACATTCTTTCAGCCTTTTTAAACAAGTTTGCTAAAACAATCATTCTCTGGCATTAAGACAGCTTACCTGCCAAGCTTGACATTTCTATAACCAAATCAATATTTCAATAGTCTCCAACTATAAATCTGATGTTGATTTGAATTCTAGGGAGTAATGAATGATCCAATTAGAAAACAAACAAAAAAGTAAAAAAAAATATAATTAGAGTGTTTATTCTTCCTTGATGATAAGGAGCCCTTGACAAGACAGAATGCTGTTGCCAGCAAGCCTCCTTCTTTACGTGTAATCGATCTTGGAAGTTAAAGGTTTGTTTGCATTTTTAACATTGAGAGTTAAATATATTCCTTTGATTGAGCTGTTAAGTGGCAGCTCAACTACCCCGGAGTTTATTATTCCTTTGTGTCTGAAATGTGCAGGAATTTTCTGCTACCTGAGATACACTTACAGATGAACATAGACATGGTAAAAAAAAAAAAAAAAAAAAAAAAAAAGTACTCAATGCATTCTCTGCTATATAGGAGGACCCTTGAAAGGTCTGTTGAGTGAATAGTAAATGTTGCTGCATTTCTTTTACTTTTACAGGTTTCCTTTGGGGAGTCTAGAATTTGATAAACAATCCGACCCATTGTGTTGATTGTTTACCTAATATGATCAAAACTCTTTTCGAGACAAGCCAGATTGAGATTCCAACAGGTTTGGTCTATTAAGGACAAATGATTGGATAAACAGGTTTCTCTCTCTCTCTCTCTCCCTCTTTCTCTCTCTCTCATACACACACACACACACACACACACACACACACACATTTATTTATTTAAAATTTATTTATAATGCTAAGAATAAAGTGATAAATGCTCAGGAGATGTCACAGTGCATTATTTACATTAATTCCTTCCTTGCTGGATGAACCAGCAATTCCCATGAAAGAGCTGAACCTAGAAGGCTCATGACAATGTGGTTGTGCTGAGAGAAAAATGCTGATTCACAAGTATGAGGAAGAGCAGAAGATAGGAATGGGTCCCCAGTGGGTCCTGCAATGATAAGACCTAGCTTGCCTGGGACATTAGGGGAATGAGATGACATTATTCAAAGACATTATGGATGCTAGGGTAAAGAGTTTTATTACATACGCAGTGGGATATCACTGAAGGTTTTGAGCAAGGGCTCAGAATTTAAATTTTGAAAATTTGCAACATGTTGTGACCAACTGGAGCTAAGGGATGATTGAAATAAGAGAAATGGTTGACACACGTGGAAAAACCAGGGTCACAGCGTTGAAAGGTCTGGACTGGGGAAGCTGCAGTAAATGTGCGAAAGAGACAGGTGCAGAAAATAAATTGGGTCTAGAATTAAAATGACTCCCATTTACCTGACAAACATACTTCATTTTTAACATAATTCTAAGGATGCTACAAGGAGCTAAGGACATTTGTACAAAGGACATTATATTTGTAAATATATAATAGTAGTATTTTCTCATGGGGCTCCAAAGTTGTATATTTCATTTATCTTTGAACTAGTAAGATAAACAATGGTGCAGGTTAAAAGACATTGTAGCATCAGAGATATGTCTGAGGTTTCAAACCTGGATGGGGAAGATGATTAAAAACCCAGGCTTTGGAGTCAGAACCACTTTAGGTTGAAGTTCCAGCTCCATTTCTCATTTCCAAGTTGCTTTGGATCAGCTTCTTACCCATCCTTAAGTCTGTTTCCATTTCTGTAAAGCAACCACCATAACGTGTCTTTTGCTGTTTGTTGTAAGAATTAAATGAGGCAATGAATGTAAAGTGCTTATAATAAATAGTAGCTGGTTAATGAGGAATTACTACTATGATTTGGTTTTAAAAAGTAAAATTGGTGGCAGAATTTGGAGGGCATATGATGAGTTCAGAGTGATACATATCCAGTAAGTATTTAGAAATGTACGACCAAGGAGAGCAAAAGTCCCAAATGGGAACTGCTAAGTCTAGAGATGGTAGTTGAATCCAGAAACACGGATGATAGAGCCTTCCAAGGGGGCATATATAGAGATGACAGCTGGGGACAGATCCTTGAGAAATACCTGAATTTAAGCAGTAAGAAGAAAAGCCAGAAAAAGCACACAGGAACTTTTAAACATAAGAGACACATCTTTTAAATTTTCTTATTTAATTAAATTAGTATCATTTGCTCTATTTATGAAAAAAATACAAATTTGAATTTCATGAACTTCATATTTGGTTTAATATCATCATGATTATAAATGGCTTCCTTAAGACACTTTTGGGATATGAACTCTGTACATTTTCCGAAGCTCAGAAATTTCTGCTCTATAATGACTGCTTTTTGGCACTATGTAATTGACTAGCTCACTTGAGCTTTGTTAGATAAATGTTAACTTCACAAATTTAGAAATTCAGCAAAATGCCTATCAGGAACATGATTGCAGTGTGTGACACATGCTAAAATGTCATTTTGTTAACATTTAAATCTATGAACAATTATTAGTAAAGATGTGATGTATAACTAGCAAAGAAAAGTGACCTGATGATCCAACAATTCATTCATTTTCCCACTATGACAGGTGAATAAAGTCCATGACAAATCTTATATGATAAATTTGAACCCTATGAGGCAGCAAAGATTTTAAGCCCTCCAAATGAAAATTTCAATAAACATGTTCCAGAAAGCAAGCTGGGTTTCAATAAATCTCAGTACATATCCAGAGCATGTATTTTAATAACTCAAAGTATTCAAATTTTAGGGTTGCAATTAATTTCAGATTTTTAAATGGTAAAATTGTTTTCTTCATTGTTTCCAAACAAGAACTCCAGAATCTATAGTGTTTTGGGCAATAAAGGCAGCAGGTAGTTATTATACTTTATGAGTTTATTAAAGTTAGAAACTCCATACATCACCACACCCAATTTCCTCTTTCTCAAATATGGTCATTTATAAGAGCAAAACAAGAGACATAGAGAAAATTGTAAACTAACATGACAGAACAGCATCTCCTGGTACACAAAGCAGGTTACTTTTTTCCCCGTGGGGTTGCAGTATAGTTACTTATATTAGAAATAGGCTTGTTTTTGAGCCAGAGCTTCCGAGTTAAAATCATTTTAAGAAAACAACACCATGACTTCATTTAAGTAAGTGCTATGATACAAGAAATGTGTTACATGACGAGGAGATAAGATTTTATCCTCTGTTATTTCCAACATTCATGAGCTTCTCATTACTTTTAAAGAGATTTAAAGAAATATGATATTAGAAACTGCTAGATTATTTCTAAGTTTCTGCAGCAAACTTTTGTTTAAATATTACTATTTTTTCTACACAGTGAGATAAAATGAGGACTAAAAGTAGTTTGCCCAAAGGACTTCTCAAAGGAAAGATGAGGTAAATCAAACATATTTCTTGCTCCTGACATTTTTTGAATTGTTGAAGTAATTCAAAACTTGATCTCTTTTTATGGTCAAGAAGTTAATTTAAAGGCATCCTCTTAGAAATAATTACTTTAAAAACATATAATTGAACAGATAGCATCCACTTATTCAGGTATAATTATTATTAAAGATATTGAAGAGAACTGACTGTTTCTGTTTCCACCAATCTTATATGAACAAAGGATAAAACTATTGGTTAAAATGATGCTGTGGAATTGTCCATGAATATTGTTTCTTTCTCAGTGCCAGGGCTGACTGCTTAATAATTAAGTAATAAAAACATTCATTTTACATAATATTGTCCAAAAGACTTGGTCCTGAAAACTGTGAAACCAGCTAGAAAATGGAACAGATATTGAAATAATGAGGTCAGTACACAATATGGTAATTTGGTTGTTTTAGTGATATTTGGAATCATACGGATTTTGATTCACATTTCAAACCTGTCCCTTCCTCATAGCCATTTGGCCCTTGTCTTCTAGATTGATCTATAGGGAATTGTGAGGATTAAATGATGTCTGTGGCATCCAACACAGTGTGTACATTTAAGAGCACTCTCTTGATTTCATAATCTCTTTCTTCCTTTATTTAGGATTTTGCTTTGTGGAGTAATGGTCAAGGACAACTTTACTTGGTTTTATGTCTACAAAACAGTCATGTGTGAAGTAAAGAGTATGTTATTGACTCAAGAGTCATCATAATTGAACCACGAAGTAGATTTTCTATGGTTAAAAACACTGGTTTTAAAAATATGGAAAGTCATAAATGAGTCATGGCAATCTTGTGACAAAAGCACAGATTATACAGAAATGTATGATTCATCTGTGTTTTCCTTAAACTTTTACCTGGTGAGAGAGAAGGTTTATTGATTTGCACATCTCCTTCTAGGATTATTAGAGCATATACTTGAACGGTGAAATTTACATTCAAAATAGAGAAGAATAACTGCCACAAAATCCTTCATTTTAAATTGAGGGGCAAAATCTATTACAGATTTTCTGTCTTATACAATTTCTATAATAAGAATGGATTTTATGATCTGGAAAGAAGTTCAATAAAAATAATAAAAGCTGTAGACCATTAAATATAAGAAATATGAATATATATGAAATTTAGAAAAAAAATGGTGTCCCTCTCATTTCCAAATTATGTCCCTTCAATACACACAAGAATAAATGGATTCCATTTAGGGAGAACAATAATGGATTTTTCTTAAAAATTATAAAACTGGTGAAAATTTTGTGGGTTTTTTGTGTGTTTTTTCCTCTGTTTTATGAAATATTACAATAAATAACCTTGCATATGAATCCCCTCTCAATTGTGTGAATGTATTTATAAGACATATGCCTAGAAGTGTGATTGCTCAGCAATCTTAGTATGTAATATCTAAAATTTTAGATATTAAAAGAAAACGGCTAATTTCTCTTTAAAGTTACACTAATTTATGTTGCCACCAAGGGCATATGAGTGTAAACATTTCACCACATCCTTACCAGCACCAGACAGTATCAACCGTTTCAATCTTTCCCAATGTGATAAGTAAAATGGCTTTCTATTGCTTTAATTTGCATTTATTTTATGATGAGTTAGGTTTAACCTTTTCTAATATTATTAATCCTTCCTGTAAATTTTTCTCTGAATTTTATCCTCAGGACATTTGGCATTGTTCACGATCTCATTTACTTTTCATACTCATCCTATAATATGATATGGGTATATTATTATGCACATTTTACAAAAAGAAACCTTGGTCGCATGATACTAAGTATAACGCCCTATATTATCTAACTGATAAATGGCACAGGCAAAGTTTGAACAAGAGCCTGCTTAATGCCAGGATCACTGCCTAAGCTACAGGGCCACATTGCATTTGTCTCCGGCCTATAAAGAGAATTATGTGTGTTTTTTTTAAATTTTTTATTATGCTGTACTATTTCAATACTTCAGACATTTAGTCAAAAAGTATAAGCACCTGTTATGTGCCCAGCACTGTGGCAGATTCTGTATTCACAGCAACAATCAAAAATTTATAATTAATAAATAAGAACATTAATCAAAACATACTTCCTTTCAGTAAGCTTACTATGTAGAGACATTAAAAATAATTTTACAAATTACAAATTACAAATTAGTATCGCAGCAAGTACCACAAAGGAGAATTGTGGGATGCTGTGTGTGGGACTAATGGGTTGACTGGCATTATATTTAGGGAACTTTGCATAAACATAATCAAGATGCATAATTTGTAAAAAGTACCATGAGAGATAAAAGACAGATAATAAAGAAATGCTATGAAAAAATATGTTAAAATTTATTTTTATCTTAACAGAAATACCTTTATCCAAAATTTTAACTTGGTTTTCAAAAAAAAAATCTTCTAAAATATGCAAACTTACTGACCATTTCATTTCTTTATCTAAACCTTTACTCCTCTAATAAGCAGTAAAGAGTCAGTAAGAGGACTGAGATTAGCATAAAATGGAGAGAGGTTAATACGTATATTTTGAGAGACTCAGGAAGGTGATAGATGAAGAGGTTGTTATAAGAGAAATTAACCATGAATAGAAAAAGGAAATCACACTCCTTTACTCACTCCTCCTTGTAATCAACAACCAACATTTACCTACATTGTTTTAAAGGAACTAACTGCCATGATAGTATAGTGCCTTAACTGATTGAGTTAACCAGAAAATAGAACACAGTCAGCTTTATAACCCTGAACAGTTCGGCATATATTGAATACAGTTCTATGCACCACAAGAAAAAGGAAATGATTTTACTATCATAGAACACTGTGGAAAGAGATTTGTGCTATATTGGTTTGAGCCACATGAACTTGTCACTATTTCACCATTTTAACTTACAAAACAATGCAATTTTATAGGCTTATGTATGTATCTAACACACATACAACAAACTGTGTTTGTTCCTAAGTGTTTTCTTACAGATATGTGAATGAGAATGCCTATAGGTGATGTGATACTTTCTCATATACCTTTCTCTGTCATTGACTCATGTGAAGAGAGTAAGAGAGAGATTTAAGAAAAAAAAAAAGAGATTCTGGAAAGAGATAAAAATACAAATACTTTAGGCGAGGCGCGGTGGCTCATGCCTGTGGTTCCAGCACTTTGGGAGGTCGAGGTGGGTGGATCGCCTGAGGTCAGGAGTTTGAGACCAGCCTGGCCAACATGGTGAAACCCCGTTTCTACTAAAAATACAAAAATTAGCTGGGCATGGTGGTATGCACCTGTAATCCCAGCTACTCAGGAGGCTGAGGCAGGAGAATTGCTTGAACCTGGGAGGCAGAGGGTGCAGTGAGCCTGGGGGACAAAAGCGAAACTCTGTCAACAGAAAGAAAGAAAGAGGAAAGAGCGAAAGAAACAAAGAAAGAGAGAAAGACATGAAAGAAAGAAAGAGAAAGGAGGAAAGAAGGAAAGAACGAAAGAAGGAAAGAAGGAAAGAGAAAGAAATCTCTTGGAAGTTTTGAGTTCACTGGGATTTATGCATTTAAATATGCATCAAATTTGATCATATCAAACTTCTTTTAAAGGGCATTTTGGTATACTTATTTTTGAGTAAATAAATGGTTCAATTATAAATTCACAGATAATTTTGCTTTATTAACAATTATTTTTATTACTTTATTATAAAATTTATTATAGAACTCACTTGCCTGGATGGTTCATATTTTTAAAAAAATTTTGAGTCTCAATAACTAAATTTATTGCTCTTATGAAATCTGGCCAAGGAATACCCAATAATGGGACAAAAATGTCTGAGGATGGGGTAAGAATGGTGGTATCGGAGAGACTATTTTTTCCCCCAGGGTCTTTGATAAAAGCATCATTAATAACTTTATTCACCAATGTTCCATTCTGGCACCATAACAGCAAGACACATCTTCTAAATCTAGGAGAAGTTTTAGCCATATCAAAATTAAAACAAAATACATGAAAAATATTTTTCACCTCTTAAAATTCTACCTCTACATGAGTTACCACGTTTCATACCTGATGACATTTATGAAGTATGAAGTTATGGATACCTGGTAACAAAAACACTTTACTTTGGAAGAAGGAAATGTGATGTGGGGGAAAGACAGATTTAGAATTTCGTTAGATCTCAGTATTAATTTTGGCTCTGCCTCTCATTGACTGTTACCTTTACATAAGACATGAACTTCATGAATGTATTTAAACCCTCTGAACTTTAGTGGGAATATTACCTCCCTCACCAGATTGTTCTGATAATTAAACCAGATAAAGTGTGTGAAGTGCTTAGCAATGAATAATCTGCATTTGATATTTGATTACCTCTTGCATTTTTTTGCCCCATCAATTACCATTTATTTCGTATTCTTCCTAACAGATTTTTTTAAAGTACATGGGGAGTAGATTTACACAACCTTTATTCCCAGGTAAGAATTAGCTACCTATAGTTCTTAGAAATAAATATATTTTGTGACTTAACAGTACATGGATATCATTTTTTGCTCTTAGTATGTAACCATCTTGGACAAAATCCTATCCCTCATCCATGGCAGTCAGACCTTATCTTTATGCATCCATCTATAAAACAGCTACAGGATCAAACCCTCATTTTGTATTTCCTTGCAGTATAATACACACAAGACTTTCTCAATGAAATGGGGCTGAGAGACACTGAAAGGCACTTCTTAATAAGTGCCAATCTCCTTTTTTTTTTAAAGCAGTTTTTCAAAATGATGAAAGATACCAAGATCTCTTAGTAAGAGACCATAATGACTCATTTACAAGGAACTATATAGTTCCAAGAGTCATGGGAATATGGAAAAAACATGCATGTTTTATTTTCCAATTCATCACTGACAATTTCATGTCATCCTTATTTCAACAGTACTACTGCATTACTGTAAAATTACAAATTATAAAAGGAGAGAGATGGACATAGAGTCAATGAATGCATAGAGGGGTGATTAATGGCTAAAATGAACTGAACTCAGAAGATAGAGGTTCTAACTCTATTTCTTCTACAAATCATTTTGCATTTTTTGGTTTGGTAAAGGGATTCAAAATTCTTCCACATGCTATGCAAAATGTATTTTCAACTAATGTCAGCAAATTAAGAGAATAGATTTGTTTACTTTATAGAAAGAAAACAGAGAAGACCAATCAACACAAGTAGTTTATGAAATATTTAAGAATTGAATGAAAGTCTTCTTCTCATAGTTCATTTTATTTCTACAAAACCAACCTGCCCTCCTAGAAATAACTGCTACATGAGACTAATTATATTTACCTTTACAGAATTTGTGAATGGCAGACATTAACGCCATGCATTATTTTATTTTACAGATTGCAGGAGAGTGAGAAGCAAAAAATAGTGCCCAGAATTGGTGGAATTAGAACCAAAAGTAGGTAATGACATTATAAGATGAAGGTGTGAACAAAGAAATCCTTAGTAACCAAATCAAAGATTTATCAGTGTTTTCTTAACCAGATGTAACAATTAAAATAGTATATGCTTTTTGGGGGTAAACTGCTGGTCTTTTAGTATGTCCATTGATCTTTCTAAGATTTAGTACAACATCTAAAAATAAAAGAAATTTAGCTAAATAATTAGTTTACTTTCATCTCTACAATTGTAACTATAAATATCAAAATTATATTTTTATTATTAACAAAATTAAGCACATCAGTTAATTTGTTGAGCAATGGCAATTGATTTATGTTAGATATTTACAATTCAATTACATTATTATTAGCATTTATTTATTTATTTATTTTTAGACAGAGTCTCGCTCTGTCGCCCAGGCTGGAGTGCAGTGGCGCGATCTGGGCTCACTGCAAGCTCCGCTACCTGGGTTCACGCCATTCTCCTGCCTCAGCCTCCCGAGTAGCTGGACCTTTTTTCATACTTGCATTATACAATATTTGAAATAGACAAAAGTATTATTAAAATGTTTATTAAATCTGTGAATCTACCATTTAGCTTTAAAATTCTTAACTATCGTATTTCATTCAAAATACAAAAGAATTGAAGATGATACAGTTGAAACCCCTGAGTAACACCCCTGAAGCCTCCCTGAGGTTAGTTACTGTTGGGTAACATGTATAAATGTTATCACATGTGTTCTTATCTGCTATATCTATATTACACAGAAGGTATCAGTCTTTTATAGTTTAAGAATTTATATAAGTAGTACATCACTTTATATTTAAAGTCATATTTTGGGACTATTTCTTCATTTGCATAGTAGCTCTAATTTATTCTTTTTAATGACTCTAAGGTATTTTACTGTATAAAATATGAGTCTATTTATCAATTATCCCAGTAATGGACAAGGGCATAAAATCTTAATGAATTTACTCACCAAACAAAGAAAAAGGGCCTGATCTGTAATACTGGCCAAGTATTATACCACAACTGATTTCAATACAACAATGGTTTAACGACTGGTTCACCAGATCTGGAATATTCATCAGTTTGTTTTTTCACATGAGCCATCACACTATGATTTTCCCATAGAAAGATATATAGTAAGATAAGTAAGTTTCTCTCTCTCTCTCCCTCTTCCCAACTCCCTTTTCTTCTTCTTTTGACAAATACAGAACATATATTCACACTTTATGAAAACATTTTCTAAAGCAAATTCTGACTTTCTAAATAGAATGCTATTCAATAGTGAAAAAGTCGAATTAAACATTTTTATGGAATATATTTTTGATGTCATATCAACAAAAACTTTTCCTAATACAAGGTCATGCAGATTTTCTCCCATGTAGTCCTTCAGAAATTTTATAGTTTCAGACTTTATATTTAGGTCAATGATCTATTTTAAATTAATTTTTGTACATGGTTTGAGAAGTGGATTGAAGTCCAGTTGTTTTGCATACAGATATCCAATTACTCCAACACCATTTGTTGAAAATGTTATCCTTTGTCCGCTGAATTATGTTTGTACATTTGTTAAAGAGCCCTTGTTAAAGGAGAAAGAAAGGTCTACTCTATAAATGGTTCTGAGAACTGGATATCTATATGCAATAAAGGAACTTGTTATCTTACATCATACTCAAAAATCAACTCAAAATGTATTTAAAAACTTAAATGTAAGACCTTGTGATATAAAATTCATAAAAGAGAACATAGAAGAAAAGCTCCTGGACACCAGCCTTAGCAAATCTTTTTCTTTTTAATATATCACACCAAATGTTCAGGCTACGAAAGCAAAAATAAATATATAGGATTACATCAAATGGAAAAACTTCTGCACAGAAAAGGAAACAATCATCAGAAAGAAGAGACAACCTACTAAATGATAGAACATATTTGAAAACTATACATTGACAAGAAGCTTATATCCAGTATACATAGGGAACTCAAACAATAGTGCAAAAACAAATAATCTGATTAAAAATGGACAAATGATCTGAATAGACATTTTTCAAAATAAGACACGCAAACGGCCAACATTTGAATGAAAAAATGTTAACATCACTAATCATTCAGGAGATGTAAGTTAAAACTATAGATTTCTACTGCACAGTAGGATGACTATGGTCAACAATAAGATACTGTATATCTCAAAACTGCTAGGAGAGGATTTAAAATGTTACCATCACAAAAAAAGATAAATGTTTGAGGTGACGAATATGCTAATTACCCAATATATATATGTATTAAAGCATCTCATTGTACTACATAAACATGTACAACTATTACGTGTCAATTAAAATAATTTTAAAAAGAATAGCAATAGAGAAGGCTAACGGATAGGAGACAGGGTAGCCTTTCAGATTTTACAAGTCAAAGATTTTCCCTTCCAAAATGCAAATCAAAACACAATGAGATATTACTTCACATCTGTTAGGATGACTATTATCAAAAAGACAAGAGATAGCAACTGGAGAAAAGGGAACCTTTGTAGGCTGCTGACAGGAATGCAAATGGGAGCAGCCATTATGGAAAACAGTATGGTGGTTCCTTAAAAAATTAAAAATAGAACCATCATAAGTTCCAGCGATCCCACTTCTGGGTACATATCCAAAGGAAATGAAATCATTATTTCAAAGAAATATCTGCATTTCCATGTTTATTGCAGCATTTTTACAATAGCCAAGATGTGGAATCATCCTGAATGTTTAAGATACTTATGATGTCCAAGAATGGATGAATGGATAAAGAAATTGTGATATATATACACACATACACACAGACACACAGACACACAGAGTGGAATATTATTCAACCTTACAAAAGGAGATCTTGCCATTTGTGACAACATGGATGACCTGAACATGTTATGCTCAGTAAAATAAGCCAGAAACAAAAAGAAAAATGCTACATGATCTCTCTTATATGTGGAATCTTAAAAGTTGACTATGTGGAAACAGAAAGTAGAATAGTGGTTACCATGGATGGGGAGGTGGGGAAAAGGGGAGCTGTTGGTCAAAGGGTACAAAGTTGTAGTTATGTAGGAGGCATAATGTACAGCATGAGGGACTACAGTTAAGAATACTGTATTATATACTGAAAATTTGCTGAGAGAGTAGATTTCAGGTGCTATCACCACACACACACACACACACACACACACACACACACACACAAAGGTAACTATGTGAGAGATATGGTAACTTGATTGGCTAAAGTATAATAATTTCACACATGCAAATCAAAATATATTTTGATATACATTAGTAAATAATGTATATCAATTTATAAATGTATTATAAAACTTAAATATGTACAATAAAATTAATAAAAATGAATTTAAAAAATAGTTCTGCATTTCAAAAGATCCCATTGAAACATTTCGGTTTCAGGACATCCTACCCCAAAATATGGCAACTTGGCATAGATAAGATTTTAAGCAAAAGAAATCTGTGAAATGCCAGGTGCAGAAAGGATTTTATGACTTCCCCCTGAACAGTTCATAAGACCCTCGTGTGAAAGGTACCCTTCATATACCTGGAGGAAAGAAGCATCCTTATCTCTGAAGACATAGGGGCTCTGAGAGGAATCTGAACAAACAGGACTTGCCACTTCCCCAGTTTTCTACGTTTATCTCATATTATTTTCATCCTATCAGTTTCTTCCATGACTTTCCACTCTCGATCAAATCCCTAATACATAATTGGCAAATTGCTGGAGGCTCAGTGTAGGACAAGTCTGAGCATTAATAACCACAGAGGGACCCAGTCATAGGGATGTCCCCAACTTTGGTGAGTTTTACCTCCACGAGCTCAACCGGGTTCTCACTGTAAACAAAGGAGTAAAAGCTTCTCATTCTCCTTTTAGGGGGAGAGAAATTCACCACTTTGAAATACACTAGAGCACTCTGTTTCTTTCTAACAAGATCTGTCCTCAGGAGAAACCATTTTATCAGAGCCTTACCTGCTTGGATTTTATGAGAGCCTAAGCCATCTGGGTGAAGGGAAATACCCAACTGCAGCCCTCTCTGAACTGCCACTTGGAGGGGAAGAAATATGCAACTCCAGGCCCTCCAGCCATCCTGTCCTCCTAAGAGGGGGCAAAAAACTGAGAAGTACTTGTGAAGTTCACAGTCCAGGGACATGGGCTCATTAAAGGACTAGTCCTACCACCATGTTAATAAAAGGCTATTTGTAGAAGTTCCTTTTACCCAGTACATCATGCCCAACTTTCAACAACAACAACAACAACAACAACAACAAAAAGTCAAGGTAAACTAAAAGGCAAAAAGTAAAATAAAATAAAATAAAATAAAATAAAATAGAGAGAGATCAAACAAGCACCAGAACTAAAGTCAATTATGGCAGAAATGTTGAAATTATCAGACTAGGAATTAAAAAACAAACTATGATTAGTATGCTGAGGTTATTAATGGAAAAAGCAACAATGTACAAGAATGGAAGAATAAGGAGATGGAAATAGAATAGAAGAATAAGGAGATGGAAATTATGAGAAGAAATTTTAAAAGACTGGAGATCAAAACTGCTGTAACACAAATTAAAAAATGCCTTTGATGGGCTCATTAGTCGACTAGATATGGCTGCAGAAAGAATATCTGAGCTTGAGCATATGACAATAGAAACTTCTAAAATTAAAAAATTAAGAGAAAAAAGATGTAATGAGTCAGAATAGAATATTCAAGAATCGTGGGGCTACTGAAAAAGGTATAACACATGTGTCACGAGAATACCAGAAGGATAAGAAAAAGAGAAAGGAAACAAGGCAGTATTTGAAACAGTGACTGATTATTTCCCCATATTAATGTGAGACACCAAATAACAGATCCAGGAAGCTCAGAGAACACCAAGCAGGATAACTGCCAAAATTACTACACCTAAGCATATGATATTCAAACCTCAGGTAATCAAAGACAAGGAAAAAGGTCTCAGAAGAAGCCAGAAAAAAAAACAATACCTATAGTGGAGCAAAGAAAAAGAAATGCATCTGACTTCTGCAGAAAAAGCAATTGACAATATCTAGAATCAACTTATAATAAAAGCTCTCAGCTGAAGAGAAATAGAGAGTAATTTCCTCAACTTGATAGAGAACATCTACAAGAAACCTGCATCTAGCAGCATACTTCAATAGTGAGAAATTCAAAGATTTCCCGTGAGACCAAGAACAAGGCAAGGATGGCTCCCTGTGACCATAGCTTTTCAACATCATCCTGGATGTCCTAGAATTCTTTCAAGGTTCTACTCACAACTGGATTTCTCCATAATCTTACATCTCCTCATGCACAAACTTATCACATAGCACACAGACTGGTCTTACATAATATTTTCTTTCTCTTAGCTCATTAAGCACTTTGTACATCTCGTGGCCCTTTTCATTTTATAATGTGTATGAATTTTACCTTACAGGGTGTCTCCTGTGACATAAGCCTTTGGAGAGACACAATAATCATGTCATCTTCTGCTCTGTCATTCACACAATGTATAGAACAATGATTTGACCAAGTAAGTGCTCGGATTTGTTGATTTTTAATAAGATACTATCAAGTGCTTATACCAGTGCTGGAGATCAGAGACGACATTTATGCAAAATACTTTAAACAGGAGAGAGGTTGCATGAGCACAAGAAAAGCCTTGTCTCAAAAGAATGCTCCCTCATTGCAGCCCATTTAGCTTGAGTGATGATTTTGATGACCTTTCTAAATTAACACAAAAGCTGACAATAAAAATAAGTTTGAGTACATTAATAACGGGAAACAGGATTTTTCTTACATTTCTATTTAAAGTAATCTGAAACAATAAGAAATATATATGATTTATCCTGTCTCTTGGATCTAGCTGTGGAATGATTGTATTAATCACACTGGGTAAAGCAACACTAAATGAATGTCTCCTTGGAGATTTTACTGCATAATTCGCAAAAGTAAGCAATAATCTATTATCCCCTCGAGATGACTGTCAAGGAACCCAGAGGAATTCATTTACTTCATCTCTATTCAATACATGTGGTAATTATAGCAGTTTTTATTACTAAATGTAATATTTTCATTAAATCCTTTGCCACAATGATATTTTAAAGTGATTTTTTTTGGATTTTTAGCTGATGAAATATGGTCCCATTTATCATCAGTTCTAACTTCGTGTTACTACTGTTGTTCTTAAGGTCCTTAAAGTAAATTTTAAGACTCAATCTAAGTGTGTCAGTGTTGATTACCATTCTATTTAGAAAGGCAGAATTTGTCTTAGAAGATATTTGTCTAAAGTGTGTGTTAGTATTTGTCAAAATAAATGGAGGGAGGGAGTGGGTGAGCTGGGATAGAGGCAGGCAGAAAGCAACAGGACAGAGAGTAGGAGAGAGAGAAAGAAAAAAAACTTTTTGTATCCTACCATACATCTTCTGGGGAGTTATAAGTAGGACACTGACTCATCCCAGGAAGCCAACTGGTAAATATTCAGAAATCCTGTGGGCCAGTTGTTAAACCAATAGTAGTTTGAAATCAGTCTAGGTGTACAACTTTGCAAATGCTACAAATGAGGAATTTCTTTGTTTGTTCATTTGTTTGATAAGTCACCTTACGAGAACATCCACTGGATCCATCAATAGACTAACATATTATGTGATCTGAGAAAATACAACACTTTAAAGGTTCTGAGAAGTCCCGCAGTTTAAAAAAATTGTAGTACCTTCATTAAACCAAATATCTTCCAAGTTTTATGGAGAGGGGACACTTCTTATTAGAATAAGAAGCTGTATTTATGGTCGTCCAAGAATTCAGGCTCTGGAGCCAGACTGCATGGGTGGAAATCTTTGCTCTGCCTTTTGTTAGTGTCTTGAAGGGAAAATTGTTCAACTGCTCTGACTTACATTCTTCATTTGTAAAGTTTGTCTGATCTTTACATAGTTCATAAGCTTGTTTTGAGGATGAAATGAGTTAATTTTTATAAAATACTTAGGATGGGATTTGAAACATAATAAATTATCAATAGATTATAAGCTCTGTTATTTTAAGAAAATAGTGCTCCTCAGACCTTACTTTAGACAACTCTCCTCTAGAGTATAAAATAGTCTATAGAGAGATAAACTAGGAATTCTATTAATTATTTTTAATTGGTTATTTTAATACATAATAAAGCAATGTTATGTATAGATTCTATAGCTTCTAGGTCAGTTTTTACTATAAGAACACTAAAATTAGAGCTTTGTTTTAATAGAATAGCTTAGGAATTTGAAAAACTTTGAAATTGTCTCGCTTCTCATAGAGCACGTCTTCCCTATACGTTCTTAAAATATTCCTTCTATGAACATGAATTAAATGATTGCCTTTAGGTCATGGTTAAAATACACTTTTACCAGAGAGACAAATAAAATGGGTACAGCCCATATGCTTTAATTAGATTTTTTTGAAAAGCTTTCTGGGTGTATATAATCCAAAATAAGTAAATTTTTAGATAAACTTTTAATAACTTTTCCCCATTAAAAATCAAACACAAAACTGTCATCCTTTTGGCTTTTGGATTCAGAAAATGGAACTTAGGACACCCAGAGCACCTGGAAATGGGAAGAATAACAGTCGGAATACCGAGGAGTTAGGTAGAGATTTCAACTGCTGCTCACCACTGAGTAAAGAGACAAAGGTTATAATTTAAATCCTGCCCAGGATAAAAGAGCTTGGCCCTGTGACCTTTCATTAGAATCCCAGAAGGGAAACACATTTGGGATAAAATCTATGTCCCAGGATGAAGGGATTCACTGTAGAAATAAGAGTAAAACAGAAATAGACAAAAGCTTAAAACCACAACGTTACAAGGTCAACGTGATCTACTAGTAATTACAGTGCCTGCTGGGGCAAAACTCAGCACTTGCCAGAAGACAAAAAACAGAGTCTGAGGAATATTTACTGCATTCAGTCACAAAGTCCAGCATGCAACCAAGAATTACTAGACACGAGGAAAAACAGAAACATTGACAAATGGTCCAGAGAAGAATTAGTTAATCGAGTGACCCACAAAGAACTCAGATGTAGGAGGTAGTGAAGAACTTTTAAATACCTGTGAGGAATGTGTTAACAAATTAAAAGTAAAATATAATGGGTGATATGATGGAGAATTTCAGAAGAGATTTGGAAACTGTAACATACAAATAAAATGGAAATCTTTGAATTATAAAAATAATATATAAAATTAAAAATTCATTTGATGGGATTAACAGCAGATTAAACATAACAGAAGACAGAAATTAAGCAATGTACATCTATCTAAGTTACTTATTGGTTAAAGAAGATATTTCAATAGAAATTAGAAAATATTTTAACTGAATTATTGTGAAAACAAAATATATTGAAAGTGGTAGGATATAGCTAAATTTGGCATAAGAGGACAATTTTAGGTTTAAATGCTTATGCTGGAAAAGATGACAAGTTAAAATCAATGATTAAAGATTACAGTTGAAGAAACTAGAAAAAGCAGAGCATATGCCACCCCAGGTAAGTAGAAGAAAGAAGTGAATAAAGATAAAAGTAGAAATTAATAAAACGGCACACAAACAACCAAGAAAAAATATCTAAACCAAAATTTGGTTCATTTGAAAAGATTAATTGAATTGTAAATACTGAGCTAAACCTATCAAGAAAAGGGAAGAGAATACAGTACAAAGAATGATAGAGGGGACATCATTACAAATTATATAGACACTGTGAAGACCTTAATGTCAATGATTTTAACAGCTTAAACAAATGAACAACAATAGAGAAGAAAGAATGACTCCTCAACTCATTTCCTGAGGACAGAATAACTCTTATTTCAAACCTGACAACATCATTAAAGGAAAATAATCACAGACCAGTATCACTCGTGAACATAGATGCAAAGATATTTAATAGAATATCAGCGATTTGAATTCAGCAATATATAAAGAGGATAAAACACCGTGAAAAGGGGTGCTTATCTCATGAATACAAGGTTAAAAAATCAATCAATGTAATTCATCGTTGTAACAGAAGTTTTTGTATTGGCCAATTTCTTTTGAAAATTATAAAACTTTTAAGGTGTATTTCTATTTTTGTAAGACATATTTGAAATGAGTGACAACTGATTGAGTAAACATTGTCTCTTTTTAATTAACCCTACCTAGACATTTAGCTGCTTATGCAACATAAGCATCCTGCTCCCTTCCCATTACTAACTAGAAATCAGATGAGTATCATCTTAATGTTACGTAATATATTTGTCTAAAATCCTTAGGCATATGCACCCAAACTGTCTGCCACTGAGTCTTTTTAGGTCACATTGCCACAGGAAAAAGGTAAAGGATTCCACCTACTATGCCAAGTTCAGAAGTTTCCAGTGGAAAAACTCCACAGGTTCAGGCAGTTTTTTCACAGTTATCCAGGACTGCATAACCCGCATTGCTGAAAAAGCAAGTAATTGTGAAACCCAAACCAGCTGGCAAGTGAAGACCTAAGCTGCGTGGGAGTGCCTGGCCAACAGATTGTAAAATGCCAAGCCAGGGCAGATGCTGACCTACTTATTCAGTAACGTGCAAGTGCAAAACTAGGTTTCCAGTCTCCCCTTAGATTAGATGCCAATATAGCTGAATTACCAAGTGACCCCCAGCTCTTTATCCTCCTCAAATTAGGTGGTCTCTTGAGTGACCTTGGCTGGTCATTGGAGTCAATAGGATAGACATAAAGTAACCGTATTACCCACATTTCTCTTTTGCCTTTGCAGGTACATGACTTGCAGGTGAGTTATAAATACAAGATATATTTAACCAGTCAAATTGGTGACTCATATATATGTAGCTTTTTTTGGTAAAAGAGGCTAGAAATTTCTTCATACTCCAATTTATAAATTATAATTTACAAGCAAATATTGTTGTCATTATCTTAAAAATAAGAATAGCCACTCTTTTGACAAGTACACTTAAGCACCTGCAAATCTGTTTATTAATTAGACCATAGAATCTGTGTTTCATTGGTGGTCAGCTGGCCAATCTGATGGTCTTGTCATACACAGGTAAGAAGAGACAAAGAGCCAAGAGTTTGTTTGGAGGCCGGAGTGAGCTTGACAGAACTAGATGAAATTGGCCACTGGGCACTGGGACCCAGAAAGGCCTCATTGCCACAGAGTTGCAACAGAGTGTGGGGTCCCATTATCAGAATCCTTTCTATGGTGCATCCAATTGGCTATGACTCTCCTAAGAACAGCGCTGCAGGAAAATGCAAGTTCACAGGATAATGAATGCACTGTTGCTTCTCTGCTGCTGACTTTTCCCACGAATAAAACTTGTATTTATTTGTACTGCTGGTTCGGGCTGCCATAAAAAGCACCACAGACGATATGGCTTACACCACAGAAACTCATGTTCTCCCAATCCTGGAAGCTGAAAGTCCAAGATCAAAGTGTTGTCTGGGTTGGTTTCTTCCAAGACCTCTACTGTTGGCTTACAGATGATTGTATTCAGTTCACATGATGTTCTTCTATGAGTGCCTGTGTCGATTTTCTGTTCTTATAAAGATATCAGTCAGATTAAATGATGGTTCACCCAAATGACTTCATTTCACCTTAATTACTTCTCTAAAGGCTCTATCTCCAAATACGGTCACATTGTGAGTTTCTCAGGGTTAGGACTTCAACATGTACATTTGAGGAGTGGAACACAATTCAACCCATACCGTGTACCATGGTAGTCCCAATGTCCCCATTTTCCAACAGCAAAGTGTTTATGGAATATCATGTTCTACCTGTGACCTTTCTATTCTCTCTTATACAATATTATGTCACTTTCATATCATAGTTAATTTTACATGTATTTGTTCCTCATCTCCAAAACGGGTCTGCAAACTCCTGGAGAGAAAAATCTGCATTTGAAACTAGCAGGTGCACAGCAACTATTAACTAATATAAAATGACATCTGAAAGAAACAAAGCCCACAATTTTTTTCCCATGCCTGTCAATAGAGACTTCAGAAACATATAGTTATTTTGAAGAAAATAACTTTATATTCTTTAAAAACTAGATAGTAATTTGAAATCATACTTTCAATGCTACAACAGACATTTAAATAGAGGAAATATCCACCTCCCATTCTCCAATCACCACCTCCCTCATTTCCCAGCATGTTTAGAGTTCTAGCCTTCACCAAAGACTGGTATACAAGAAAGCAAATTGAAAATCCATCATTTTCTGGTACGGTAAGGCTCATTTATTCATTCAATAAGGATTTATTGCTTTGCTGTGATGTGCCAGGTATAGGGCTTGGTGCTGGTAATACCTTAGTGAACAAGACATAGATATGCAATAGAATAGTAACTGAGTTCAGATTTTTTACGTCTCAACCACTTCAGTGCAGATTAGCATATGAATGAACTATACAACTTATTTTCCGTCACAATTTTGGTCTAGTCTTTGATATTCTTCTTCTATCCTATGAAATAGCTTTTCTTTCATAAGCAGAAGAAGAGCAGAATGAAATAGAGAGCTGTGCTACTCCTCGGCCAATTTCTTTATAAAATTACATTTGGAAATTTCTATTTAATTGGTCCCTCCAAAGGCTGTGAGCTGAAAAATTTATGGGCTCTGATATGGTGACAGACGAAAAGTGGTCCAAGTAATTTTTGAAAGGTGCCTACCAAAATAAATGAGTTTTTACCAGTGATATCTCTATAAGGACTCTTGGTACATGAGGATTCGGGAATTTGGGGATTTATACTCTATTATACTTAGGACATCTCATTATAGAAGTGTGTCATATGACACACTCTGGGCCAACTACATTTTTTCATGACATTTTCTAACTGGAAATAGAAATTCGATCCTCCCAGTGATCCCTACGGAATGGGATGCTTGGGAGCTGTCTGGTCATGTGGAGGGAAGTCCTGAACTCAGCAGTGATAGAGAATGAGGTCCACACAGACTCTGGATTATACTTTGTGTACAAAGCCGCACACTTGCACTTCTTGTCACTACCTCCACAGCTGATTCCCTGGTCCAGTCTTCACCTCTCACCTGCCTGCTAAATGATCTTGCTTCTCCCTTTGCCCCCAGATTGTCTCTTCTCAATAAATCACCTGGAATGATCTATTTTTAAAGTCTAAGAGAGGTATTGTTACTGTGCAGCTCAAAGCTGTCCAGTGCTCCCCATTTCATGCATAGTAAAAGCTGAAGTCTTTCCCAGGGACTACAAGGATGTCCCCTATCTGTCCTCATTACCTCTGTGGCTGCCTTTTATAATGATGTCCCCTATCTGTCCTCATTACCTCTGTGGCTGCCTTTTCTAATGATCTCCCTCTGCACCTCGGCACTTCAGAATAGTGCCCTTGCTCTTTAGAAATACTCCCTGTGAATTATTCCCCAGCAGAGAGTGTTCTCCCAGATATGAATGTGGCTCTCCCTTGCCTACCTTAAGTTTTCACTAAAATGTAGCCTTTCCAGCCATTTCTGACCTGACTACTCTATTTAAAAATCAATAAATTTGGCACATGTCTCCCTTCTTTACCTTATTTTTATCTATATCACATTTCATTATATTCTTATGTACATTTTCAATAAACTTCTATATTTCTTGGTCTGTCTCTACCCTCTAGAATATAACTTCCCACCCCCAGTGCCTAGGCCAGTACCAGGCAGGAAGCTGGTAGCATTAAATAAATAGTTAGGCTAGTAACTTTGAATTAAACTCATGGAGAGATCAGGTCAGGCAAACCTCTGCATTGTGTTAGGGTAACATTTGGAGAACTACCAATTAAGCTTTGTGGAAGTGCTCAGCTGAGGATATACCTTGCCACTCATTTGCTGGAATTCTGGTATAAATTGGTGGGAGGTCAAAGAGACATGTGTCTCAAACAGTCTTTAACTTCAAAACTGAGTGGAATGAGTCCTGGATGAGGTATTTTGGATGGAAAACCAGACACAAACTACATGCAATATATTCTTTACTAAATTAACTAACCTTAAAAATATGTTTTATAAATTTCTGAACTAGAAATTCAATTTGATACCATCTTCCACCGGCCCACATTTGTTGTTTTAAATAAATTTGGAGTCCTTTGGGCACATTAAAAGATGGAGAATGTCAGGTCTGCTTGGATATGTTCAAGGCATGGCCCTGTTTGCCATAGACATGGGGTTTATGCAAACATGGCTATTCCTCTAAGGCTTGCAGTCCACTCAGTTTTGGAATCACAGTTGCAGAGATTTCTTAATTTATTTGTCTGTGTCGATGCCTCGCTTAGTGCTTTGAGTGTTGGAAACTTCCTCAACAATTTCTGCAGTTCTACCAATCTTTGCTGTGGGTTGCACAAAACAAAGGTAACACCAATTCAAGGTGCACTTTTTATTTGCCCTGGAATGATTCTACTCTTTTTTCCAGAATCATGAGATTCTCTGTCTCTGTAATGAGTGTTCTCTTCTATGTTTCAAGCTGTGTTTGTGAGAAGAATGCACATACCCTGCTCTGCCTGTTAGCTAAGGGACACCTACACAATCTGACCTGAGAAATGTCTCCCGATTTCCTGGGATTCATTAATTTCTGTTACTTCCTGCGTAATATTATCAGTCTCGTCCTGGGTGTCAATGCCCCACATATGGCTAACTGAGTTATAAGAGGGCCTCTATCAGGTGTTTTTTTATTTCGTAGGGATAATTAGATCATTCTTCCTTCCTAAAGCCAATAAATAACCTATAAACTCAACCACAATGTAAGGCTCTAGAATTGAGGGAAAAAAATGAAAATAAAAAAACAAAGTTCTTTTTGAAACAGTAATCATTTCAGAAATTCCTTTGGCGTGGCTCTAAACAATCATTTGGGTATTCAACATTCTCATGCCGTTTCTTCAACTTAAGTTTGTATTTCATGTAGTATCTTAAATTGTCTCTTAGGCAAAGTTTATATTTAAAAAAAAAAAGCAAAAAGGAAGAACACATGAAGGCAAATGCAGTTTAATATTTTAGTTAACTGTTATAAAAACAGTAACACTTTGTTTGATATGTTAATTAATCCAAGAGCATAACTCTAAACCATAAGCACCAGCATCCACACAAAGGGAGGTTTGAAAATTTGGACAAACTAACAATGGAAGCCAAATTTAGCTTTGCATGTTGTCAGCTAACCTTCCCTAGACTTCTGGGGCTCAGACCATGGCATATATACCAAATTTAGAAATTATTCAGTCCTGATGCAACAATTATTAAATACTTGTTATGTCTCGGGTGCCAGTACTAAGAAAGATTCTGTTAGCATTCATTGCTGATATTCCAATAAAATAATCTGTATAATGTGCTTCGGCTAGCACTGCTAGATCGAATGTGAGCCTGTTTAGCCTTAGCTGTCATCATTGCTATTGCAACGCTGTAAAAGTAAGTCCTGGTCCGTGTGCCCAGGGCTTAATAGAGAAGAGACCCAACTAAGTGAAAATCAGACTGTGTGTTTAAATAGAAACCTGGAAAAGGCTTGAAATGTATTTAGTCTATCAACAGTCTTCTTTATGTTTTTATTTGGGTTCCATGGGAATGGGTTTCTGTGTAGGAGCTTTGATGCTTTAACGGCAGGAAAATATAAGTGTTTTCTTTGGCAAACTTTAAAGAGAGCCATAGAAGGCATCCAGGCAGATAGGGACAAATGTAGGAGTAGGAATACTGTAATGAATTTTTTATGTAAACCAAATAAGGTTTCTCTTCATTTTAAATATAATTCTTTATGTGTAGGAGTGGCAATAAACTAATAACACTACTGCTTCTATTTTCCAGAAGTTTATGAAATTCTAGTGAATGTTAATTGTTTCTAACTGAATATGAGTGTGAATACGAGTGTATATTAATTAAAGGTAATATGGATAGCGCAAATCGAATCAAGAACAGATTATCTAAGGGAAAGATGGAAATTCTGGGTGCCCTAGTTATGATATTTGAGAGTATTCCCTACACTGGACTGGTGCCAAGGACTGGTCATTTAAGGAAAGTAAGAGCTGACATCTGAGATTAAATCCAGTTTAATTAAGGAATGGAAGGTCATAATTATATTTTCGATATAATTATGAGTGTTTGGCTAACTACCACCCAAGCATTTTCCCAAATTCTTTCCTTTCTCTAACTTTTTCTAAATCTCTACATCATCTACTCATTGTAGCTTTTAGAGATACCAACATATCCTCGTTTATTGAAATAAAAAATGTAATTCGTCTTATTTTTATTGAGACTAAATTTATTTCACTCAAATTTCAAGGATCACACTGTGATCTGAATTTATTTAGTCCAAATTCACATTTTCTTCTGTTAAAAAAAAAACTATCTAATTAAAAATACAAAAAAAAAGAGAAAGAATAAACAAATAAGATTGCTAAGATTTCTCTGTACCTCTAAGATTAAACCTGACTTTCTTGCAATGGTCTATCTCTCCACTCTGGCCCCTCTCCTCTCACCACTGCCTCTCTTCTCCTTCTTCCTGACCTTCTTCCACTTCCTCCAATGCAGCATAACCTAGCATGCTCGGGCCTTCATGCCTGCTACTGCGTATTGCAGGAAAATTCAACAAGCAGTTGCTTTCAGCACTTGTCATGTAACAAAGTCTCTATTGGTTTTACTTATATTTGCAGTTTACAATGAATCTTATAAGTTTACTAGCCAAGTGGAATATCTTTTTCTTTGTTTTTGCAGATTTTTTTTTCCTTGTGGTCTTTGTGATTCTTTTTCTTTTTAAATGACTTCAACTTTTATTTTATATACAGAAGGTTTGTTACTTAGGAATATTGCATGATGCTGAGGTTTGGAGTATGGATCCTGTCAGCAGAGAGTGAACATGGTACCCAATAGGTAATCTTTCAGCCCTATCTTCCTCCTTCCTTCCCCTTTCACGTAGTCCCCAGTGTCTATTGTTCCAATTGTTATGTCCACGAGTACCCAATGTTTAGCTCCTACTTATGAGTAAGAATATGTGGTATTTGGTTTTCTGTTCCTGTATCAATTCACTTAGGATAATGGCTTACAGCTGCATGCATGTTGCTGCAAAGAACATTATTTCATTCTTTTGATGGCTGCATAGTATTCCATGTTGTATATATGCCACATTTTGTTTATCCAATCCACCGTTGATAGGCACCTACATTGATTCCATGTCTTTGCCATTTTGGATAGCACTGTGATGAACATAAAAGTGTATGTGTCTTTTTGGTAGACTAATTTGTTTTCTTTTGGTTATATACCCAGTAATGGGACTGCTGGGTTGAATGGTAGCTCTGTTTTAAGTTCTTTGAGAAATCTCCTAACTTCTTTCCACAGTAGCTGAACTAATTTACATTCCCACCAACAGTATGTAAGCATTCCTTTTTTTCCCTTCAGCCTTGCCAGCATCTGTTATTTTTCTGACTTTTTAATAATAGCTATTGTGACTGCCAGGAGATGGTATCTCACTGTGGTTTTGATTTGCATTTCTCTGATGATTAGTGAATGTGGCACATTTTTTCATATGTTTGTTGGACACTAGTATATCTTTTTTTGAGAGCATCTGTTTATGTCCTTTGCCCATTTTTAATTAGTTTTTATGCTTGTTTTTTGCTTGTTGATTTAAGTTCCTCACATTAATAAATTCTGAATGTTAGACCTCTCTTGGATGCAAAGTGTGCAAATATTTTCTCCTGTTTTGTCAGTTGTCTGTTTATTCTGTTGTTAGTTTATTTTGCTGTGCAGAAGCTCTTTTGTTTTATTAGGATCCACTTGTCAACTTTTGTTGCAATTGCTTTTGGGGATTTAGCCAAAATTTCTGTGCCAAGGCCAATGTCAGGAAGAAGAATATTTCCTTGGTTATCTTCCAGGATTTTTATAGTTTTGAGTCTTACATTTAAATCTTTAATCCATCTTGAGTTTATTTTCATATATGTAGAAGGTATGGATAGAGTTTCAGTTTTCTGCATATGGCTAGCGAGTTAGCTCAACATCATTTATTTAATAGGGAGTCTTTCCCCCATTGCTTGCTTTTAATTGGCTTTGTTGAAGATGAGATGGTTATAGTTGTGTTTTCTGAGTTCTTTATTCCGTTTCATTGGTCTATGTTGTTTTTTTTGTTTTTTTTTTTTTGAAAGTGTCTCACTCTTTACCAAGGCTGGAGTGTAGTGGCATGATCACAGCTCACTGAAGCCTCAGCCTTCAGGGGTAAAGCTATACTTCCCTCCTTAGCCTTTTGAGTAGCTGGAACTACAGATACGTGTCACAACACCCAACTAATATTTTCATTTTTCATAGAGACAGGGTCTAACTTTACTGCCCAGGTTGGACTCGAAATACTGTGCTCAAGAGACCTCCTGCCTCAGCCTCCCAAAGTGCTAGGATTACAGGCTTGAGCTGCCAGGCCTTTACCCATTCTGTTTTGGTTACTGTAGCTTTGTAGTACAGTTTGAAGTCAGGTAATGCAATGCCTCTGACTTTATTTTTTTGCTTAGGATTGCCTTGGCTATTTGGGCTCCTTTTGGTTCCATAGGAATTTTAGAATAGTTTTTTCTAATTCTGTGAAAAATAACATTGGTAGTGTGATAGGAACAGCATTGAATATGTAAATTGCTTTGGGCAGTATGGTCATTTTTATGATAGTGAGTCTTCCAATCCATGAGCATGGAAGGTTTTTACACTTATTTGTGTTGTCTTGAATTTCTTTCAGCAGTATTTTGTAGCACTCTTTGTAGCGATCTTTCACACCTCCATGGTTATCCATATTCCTAGGTATTTCAACTTTTTGTGGCTATTTGGAATGACATCATGTTCTTGATTTGATGCTCATCTTGAACGTTTTTGGTGTATAGAAATACTACTGATTTTTGTCCAAGTGGGATATTTTATTTGCCCTACAATTTTATCTTTGATATTTTAATGATTAAATTATGGGCCAAGAGAAACAGTATTTGGAGGAGAAATCTCTGTCCTTTCTACATTTATACCTCACCATATTTTCCTTTCAGCTTTTATCGTTTTGCGCTGTATCATTATTATTATTTTAATTTATCTAGAAATAAATACCCACTGCTAAAATATTATATATGTCAAAATTACAGATGTTGCTAACCTTTTAACCCAGCTCTTCTACTTCCAGGGATTTCTCTAATGTCTGTTTTGAAACATGTACTGGATAACTTGATTTATTACAAGGCAAACTGTTTCACCTTTAAAATCACAAAAATTTTGCAACAAAATTCATGTCCATCTGTAGGGTATTAGTTGAATAAATTATGATATACTTATATCTAAAGCTAGAAAAAAAGAATTAGCAAACCAGATTCTGGTATGGGACATATTCTAAGACACTGATAAGCATAAATATCAGAGAACAAAAGAATATGTATAATATGTATTAAATATAAATATATGGCATAAAAAGTCTCTGGAAAAATACACAAAAAAACTTCCAACATTTGTAATTTCCAAAAAAGAGAGGCAGGGATATTAAAAGTACTTTTTAAAAATACAATTTAGCTCTAATTCAGCATTCTGAATTTCCAACAATGTAAGTGAAATTTTTAATTAAAAAGGGAAGAGTTTCCAGTTAAGATGGCAGATTGAACATGTGAATTTACCTTTGCTCCATCTCCAAATCCCCATGACGCAACAGTGTATGAGTGTCCCATTGCTGCCATAATAAGTGATCATGTACTCAGCAACTTACAACAACACAAGACCATTATCTCATAGTCTTCTGCAAGGAGTCCAGCACAGGTCTCACCACACTAACACTGAGGAGCTGGCAGTACTAGATTCCTGTGTGGAGGCTCTAGGGGAGAATTCTTGCTTTGCTTTTTCTAGTTTTTAGAGGCTGCCTCCAGTCCCTGGCTCCTGGCTCCTTTCCCCTATCTGCAAAGCCAGCAACACTGCATCTCTCTAACACTCCGACCTCACATCTTTCTCTAACTACAGACTGAAAAGTTTCTCCACTTTCAAAAAATCATGGGATTAGTTAGGGCCAATTTGAATAATCCACAATAATCTCCCACCACAAGGTCATTAACTTAATTAAATTTACAAAGTCCCTTTGCCATGTAACATATTTACAGGGTCTGGGGATTAGGACATGGACATCTTTGGTGGGAGGACATTATCCTGTCTACCTTGGACAATTACTTTGTGTTTGTTTCTTTTTAACAAAACAAATACACAAGAATGGGGACATCTGGTAAAGGAATTTTGAAAGAGTACACATGGAAGTGAGGGAAAAGGGGGCTGGATTCCATACTTGCAGTGGAGAACACTGGGAACTAAGTGTATTTCTGTTTCAAAATCCTCAAGTGTCTGAATAATGTTGTGCTGGTTACTTTGGAAGTAGGAATAAAGCATAAAAGAACTTCAAACAAAGAGGATTATGTATTTGAAACTCTAAGCAGCATATACATTTCCCAGTCTCCTCCACATTTCCCTTTTGGTAGCATTCTGTTCATTTTTAGTTTTATATGTATTTTAGAATTGTTTTTCCCTATTTCTGTAAGGAATGCCGTTGGGATTTTGATAGACATTGCATTAAATATGTAGATCAGTGGGGGCAGTATGAACATTTTAACAATATTAATTCTTCCCATCTATGAGAAAGGGATGTCCTTCCATTTATCTGTATCTTCTTTAATTTTCTTCATAATTTTTTTCATATTGTACAAGTCATTTACCTCTATTTTTATGGACTGGAATAAGTTTCATTTTAAAAATTCAATACATAAAGGCCTACCTACAAATATGTTTTATATAAACTACTCCAATTATTTATTTTCACCAACCTATTGATTTCTCTACCAATGTTGAACCTAAATCTTCACTGTTTTAGTTTTAATTTACCACATTTAGTCTCTCAGAATTCAACAAACCATTAGTTATTTTGCCTCTTACTAGTGTAAGAGATTGATATGCTTGCAAATACCTTGTCTCAACCTTCATTTATTATTACAAATATTCCACATTTTTCCCCGTATCATCTTTATCTCATGCCTTTCAGTTGTCTAGGTTACCATACTATTATATTATGCATTCTCTATTAGCTAACCTTCAAGTGTCAATAAGAGTCTAGTATTAAAGAGAAATCTTTTCATGTTTGCCATGGAGTTGCATGAATAACAAAATACAGTCTCTTACTGCAACCTAACTCTATATTTATCACTGTGGCTTTTTTGGTTTTATAGAATTTTTTATTTCTCCAAGTAAAATACTAAAGTAAACTCCTTGTTCCAGTCCATAAAATCTAAAGGTGAAAGACTTGTACAATGAAAAATTTTTCAAAAATTGATGAAGAAAATTAAGAAGATACAGCTAAATGGAAAGATATCCCTTTATATGGATTGGTTGGAAGAATTAAAATGTTCCCACTACCTCCAGTGATCTACATATTTAATGCAATGTCTATCAAAATCCCAAGGACATTGTTTACAGAAATAGAGAAAAACAATTGTAAAATTCATATGGAACTACAAAAGATCCTGAATAGCCAAGGCAACCTTGAACAAGAAGAAAGCTGGATGCATCACACTTCCTGACTTCAAAATATATTGCAAAACCATAGTAATCAAAACAGTATGGTACTGGTATAAAAACAGATATATAAAACAATGGAACAGCATAGACAGCCCAGTAATAAATCTACACATCTATGACCAACAGTTCTTCAACAAGGGTGCCAAGAATACACAATGAAGAAAGGATTTAAAAAAAAAAAACGGTTTTGGGAAAACTGTATCTCCAACTGCAGCCACATGCAGAAGAATGAAATTGGACCCTTATTTTACACCAAGCACAAAAATCAACTCAAAATAGTTTAAAGACTTAAACATACAATATGAAACTGAAAACTATTAGAATAAAACATAGGGGAAAATCTTGACATTGGTTTTGGAGATGATTTTTTAGTTATGACATCAAAAGAACAGAGCAAACTTGGACAAGTGTAATTGCATGAAACTACAAAGCCTCTGCATAGTGAAGGAAACAATTAACAGAGTAAAAAGGCAACCTACAAATTGGGAGAAAATACTTGCCAATCTTTTATGCGATAAGAAGTTAACATATAAAATATGTAAAGAACTTATATAACGGAATAGCAAAAAACCCTCAAATAACTCAATCATAAATGGACAAAAGGCCTAAATAGACCTTTATCAAAGGAAGACAAACAAATGGCTAACAGGTTTATGAAAAAGTGTTTAACATTACTAATAATCTGGAAAATCCAAATCAAATTAAGATGAGATACCACCTCACACCTGTTAAAATGGCTGTTATCAAAAAGACAATAAATATTGGCAAGGATGTAGAAAACAGGGAACTCTTTTACACTTTCAAGAAAAGTAAACTAGTATAGCCAAAAGGTTTCCTCAAAAAATAAAAATGAAAATCAAACTGGCTTATGAGCCAGCAATTACACTTCTAAGTACATATCCAAAGGAAATGAAATCAGTATCTCAAAGAAGTGTCTGTACTCTCATGTTCAATGGAGCATTGTTCACAATAGCCAAGATATGGAAACAAACTAAACGCCCAGTACAGAAAAATAAATACAGAAAATATGCTACATATACACAATGGAACATCGTTCAGCCTTAAAACACAAGGAAATCCTCAATGCCATCTGAGACAACATGGATGAACCTGGAGGACATTATGCTAAGGGGAAATAAGCTAGACATAGAAAGAAAAATACTTCATAACATCACTTATATGTAGACTTTAAAGTAGTCAAATTCATAGAAATAGAGAGTAGAATGGTCTTTCCAGGGGCCAGGGAACAGGGAAAATGGGGAGATGGTCAAGCAATACATAGTTTCAGTTATGCAAGATGAAAATTCCCTATAAACCCACTGCACAGCAATGTGAATATTGTTAACAAAACTGAAATGTGTGTTTGAATTTTACTAAGAAGGTAGATCTTAATTGATTTCACCACAGAAAAAAATAAAATAAAATGGTAACTATATGAGGTGATGAATACATTAAATTATCTTGATTGCTATCATTATTTCACAATGTATATGTATATCAAAACATTAAGTCATATATACGTATTATTATATATAAATTATATATATATATATAATTTTTGTCAATTATACTTCAACATAGATGAAAACAAATATGACAAGCCTTGAAAATGAATAACATAAATTAAAAGAGAATCAGAATTAGAAGTGGAAAGAATATGTGGGGAGGAAATTTTAAGACTAGCAATGGAATTTTCTTTTTTAATAAATATTTATTTTCTATTACATACAGCATTTTTAGAAAGTGCTATAGAAAGGTTAAATGAAGCATATGCATTGTAAAAATGTCATTTTAAAAACAATTCATATGTGCAAGTTACAAAGAAGTAAAATTTATGTGTAGGTGAAACTGATAACTTCACAGAATAAGCTCTGTGAGATTTTTTCCTAGAGATGTTTCACACTTTGTAGCAAGAGTGAGTCATTGTTTGGAAGAGAGAACCTCAAAGGCACTGGTCTCCCTGCTAATGTTCTTGCATTCTTACAGTTTTTTACCCTCAGAGCAGCAAAGGAACACCTTTAAACCTAAAACATCAGATCCCTGCCCTGCTTAAAGCCTTCTAATAGCTTATCTATACACTGATAATCAAACAAGTAAAACTAGTGCATGTTTTACAAAGTCCTATGAAGGGCAACATGAACTAGTACCTGCCTATCTCTCCAGCATCACTTCCTGCCACTGACTCCATGCTTTGGCTCACAGGGGAATAAGCCAAGCTCATGGCCTCAGGGTCTTTGCACTTGCTCTTTCCACCTTGAATGCTCTCCCTCTGTATTTCCCCATGGCTTTCTCTCTCACAGCATTTAAGTCTCTGCTAAATTGCCTTTGCTTTGAGAAACTTTCTCTGCACACTCTATCTGAATAACTCTCTTCCTAAGCCCCAACCACCTCATTCTTCTCTCTAGCACTACCTGATTAATCTTGTGAGCACAGCTTGCTAGTAGGTAGGGAAGGGTGAATATGTTATCCTGAGAACCGAAAGTGGCAAATGCTTACTTTTGCAGATGTGCTGTGTGCATGCTAAGAGCTTGAAGCAAGCTTTATGGATTACAAAGTCATGTAATTAAGATAGTTTGCTGATGAGAAAACTAAGGTTAAGAAAGAATAAGTAAATTGAGAAAGTAACACACTTATCAATCGGTGCAGCCTGAATTTATATGCAGGTTTTTATGCCTCCAGAGCTTTAAATGTGTTTCCCTCCCGATGCATTTTAGAGTTTTTTCTATTAGTTACTACAAATGGAAACTAGATAAACCAAATGGGGGTGGAAATCTGTGCTATTTAATAAACAAATGCTTAACCTTGAGTAAATTTTGACATATATATTCACCCATGAAGCCATCACCACAATAGAGATAGTGAACATATCATCACACCCCAAAATTTCCTCAGGCCCTTTGGAATATGTTTCTGTCAGACCTCCACGACCCTGTCCCTCTCAGTCAAACATTGCTCTGCTGATCACTTTAGACTGTTTGCATTTTCTAGAGTTTTATATAAATGAAAATATACAGTATGTGTTCTGTTTATGGCTGCCTTCATTCGGCACAATCACATTCACCTATGTTATAATGGGTACCAATATTTCATTTTTCTTTACGGAATATGTTACTGAAACACCAGGGGTTTGGTCTAGGTCCTGCTGCTCACTGCACAGAAAGCCAATCACTGAGACAGTGAGTATTGCCAGGCAAGAAGGCTTTAATCAGGTGCTGCGGCCCAGGAGTTGGGAAATCAGTCTCAAATCAACTGCCTGAGTGACTAAAATTAAGGCTTTATATAGCAGAGAAGAAATGTAACCATGCATGGAAGAACAAGAGTTAGGGAGGAGCAAAGAAGAGGAGTCAGTCAACAGGAAGCAGGTAGTGGGTTAGGCAATCATGACAAAAGAGTGGTTTCACCTCCCATTGCCCAGATGCTGTGATTTGGTAAGTTTCAATGTCTTGCTACTATCTGGGAGGCCTGATGGTTGGATGAGAAAGGAACTCAGAGAAAACAAATGTAACTTACTCATGTTTCAAGACTGGGAGGGTCAATTTCTATGTCTATTCAAAACAACCATACACATCAGTCCTATGGGACAATTGGGCTGGTTTCAAATACTCATTGCATGGATATATACAATCTTTTAAAAATCCTTTCACCTGTTGGTGGACATTGGATTGTTTCTACTTTTTGGCTATCATCCATAAATTCATTAAAAGAATTTTCATGGATATATTCTCTAAGGTAAATGCCTAGGAGTGAAATGGCTAGACCATAGGTAAGTATATGTTAATGGTCAAACTGATTTAAAAAGTGTTTGTAGCATTTTCACTATAGTCACAGTGCACAAATTTCCTGTTTTTCCTTATTGTTGCCAATATTTGGTATGGTTGATATTTTTAAATGTTAGCCATTCTAGCTATGTAGCTAAATCTCATTGCTTTAATTTTTGCTTCCCTCATGACAAATGATACTCAGAATCCCTGTACTTATTTACAGAAACTCCTGTATTTTCTTTGGCCAAGTATCTGTTGAAATCTTTAGCTCATTTATTTGAATTGATTGTCTTCTTACTATTTAATTTCTTATTATTATACAACAAATTTCTTCTTACTACTTAATAATTTATTATTAAATTTTGACATTTGTTATATGATTTACATATTATGAATATAAGTTGTTTATCAGATATATACTTTGCAATATATTCTCCTAGTCTATGGCTTGTCTCTTCATTTTGTTAATATTATCTTTCAAAGACAGAAGTTTTAAATTTTGATTAGGTCTAACATATCAATTGTATAAGCTATATTTAAATATGACATCAGTTGATACATTGTGAGTTAATTTTTGTATATTGTTTAAAATATGCATCCAATTTCTTTCTCTTTTCTTTCCTTACTTCTTCTTCTCCCTCTCCTCCCCTACTTCTCTTTTTTATACATATGGATATCTAATTATTCCAGGAACACTTTTTAAAAAACTACCATTATTCAATTGAATTGCCTTTGCACCTTTATCAAAAGTCAATTGGGTCAATATTTTGACCCTCTATTGAATTACATTTATTTTTCTGTCTTCACAATATTACACTACCTTGATTACTCTAGCTTTATAACAAAGTCTTAAAACAAGGTAGTGCTAGCCCTACAACTTTGTTCTCTTTTTCTTAAATTGTTTTGGCTATTCTAGGTTCTTTGCATTTCTATGTAAATTGTAAAATCTGGTCATCAGTTTCTACAATATTTATTGCTAGGATTTTGAAGCTACAAATCAATTTGTGGGAAATTGCATCTTAACACAGCTGTCAAACTTTCATAGTCACCCTTAATCAGGTTGAAGAAGTGGTCTAATATTTCCAGTTTGATGAGAATTTTTGTTAGGAATCAATGTTGAATCTTGTCAAGTGCTTTTTCTGCATCTATTAAGATGATCATATGACTTCAGTTTTTAGTTTCTTAATATGATAAATTATTTGATTTTCAAATATTAATCCAACCTTGCATTCCTGAGATAAACTTAGTCATGATGGTGTACTCTTTTTATATTACACTGTTGGATTTGATTTGCTAAAACTTATTTAGAATTTTTGTATAAAAGTTTATAAATAATGTTGGCTATAGATTTCTTTCTCATCTGTCTATTTTTGTGTTGGGGTAATGCGTGCTGCATTGAATGAGTTAGAAGTGTTCCCTCCTCTTCACTGTTTTAAAAATGTTGTCTGGAATTTGTATGATGTTTTACTTAAATATTTGATATATTCCTTCTTATTGCTGAATACTCTCTGTGTGTATATGCAACATTAAAATAATCCATCACATGTTGATGGGTAATAAAGCCAGAAGCTTGGATATTTATTTGTGTTTTTGATTTTTTATCCTCCTGTGGAAATTTTTAAACAACATATTTGCCTTCTTGAATAGTTTCTAATTGAGTTAGCCAAAGGTTTATCAATTTTATTCATTTTTTGCAAAGGGTCAACTTTTGGTTCAATTGATTTTCTTTATGGTTTCCATTTCACTGATTTTTAAAATGTTTTATTTTTACAGGTTACTTTTGATGGAATTTTCTCGTAGTATTTATGTAATTTACAGGAGATTTGTTTAAAACCTCATATCTTAACCCATTTACCATTTATAATTAACTTCATTTTTATTTTAATTTTTTCATGTGTATATTTGTAGATCCATATTCTATCTAATATTGTTTTCCATCTGCCTGAACAACTTCTTTTTAATTTTCTCTTAATGTGAATCTGCTGGTGATTAATTCTTTCAGCTTTTATTATGTCTGAAAAATATTTTATTTAGCCTTTATTTTTGAGAAATACTTTCACTGTGTATTATAGAATTGTAGGCTGACATACTTTTACTTTTTATAAAACTACTTATTGAGGTATGATTAACTTACAAGAAGCTGAACATATTTAATATTCACCAGGACATAAAATTTTTAGGACTTACATTGTATAAACAAAACTTTGTACTTTTTGACTAATACTTCCCTGTTTCACCATTCAGTCCCCTGGCAAACACCATTCTACTCTCTGCTTCTAGGAGTTTGACCACTTTAGAGTCATCACATAAGTGAGATCATGTATCATGTAGTATTTACCCTTCTTGTGTCTAGCTTATTTCCCTTAGCATAATGTCATACAGGTTTATTTTTCCAAAGAAAATGACAGAATTTTCTTTTTAAAAGGCTGAATCATATTTTACTTTATATATATATATATATATATATATATATATATATATATATATTTCACATTTTTATTATCCATTTATCTGTCAGTGGACATTTAGGTTGCTTCTAAGTCTTGGCCATTGTGAATAATGCTGCAATAAAAGTGAGAATGCAGCTATCCCTTTACGATCCTGATTTTATTTCCTTTGCATATATACCCAGGAGTGGGATTGCTGAGTCACGTGGTCATTCCACTTTTAATTTTATTAGGAACCTCCATACTGTTTTTCATAGTGGTGGCACCAATTTACCTACCACCAAGTGTGTAAGGGTTTCCTTTTCTTCAGATTCTTGCCAATATTTGTTGTCTTTGTTGTTTTGTTTTGTTTTGTTTTTGATAATAGCCATCCCAACAGGGTGAGGTAATATCTCATTGTGATTTTGATTTGCATTTTCCTGATGATTATTGGGGTTGAACACCTTTTTATATACATGTTCATTTTTATGTCTTCTTTTGAAAAATGTCTACTCACTTTCTTGTCAATTTTTTAACAACTTACTTAGTTTTTGTTATTGACTTATAGAAGTTATTTATATATTTTGAATATTAACCTTTTATCAGATATATAATTTGTCTAATAATTCCGAAAGATATTTAGAGATTCAATGCAATCATTTTCAAAATCCCATTATCAAAATGGCATTTCTTACAAAAATAGGAAAAAAAAATCCAAAAATTCACATAGATCCACAAAAGACCCCAATAGCCAAACCAATCTGGAGCAAGAAAAACAAAGCTAGAGGCATTGAGAGGTGAAAACGTGCTAGCAGCCCTCGCTCACTGTGGGCACCACCTCAGCCTCCGTATCTGCTCTGGCTGTGCTCAAGGAGCCCTTCAGCCCACTGCTGTGCTGTGGGGGCACCACTCTGGGGCTGGCCAAGGCCGCCAGAGCGGGCTCCCTCTGCTCGCGGGGAGGTGTGGAGGGGGAGGCATGGGCGGGAGCCCAGGCTGCATGTGGTGCTCCTGGGCTGGCGCCTGCTGGGCTTGATCTGGGGACAAACTCCTTCTGGGCTGCCAGGGATAGGTTCCGCAAAGTCCCTCAGAGAGTGCCATTGAGAGGTGAAGCCAGCTGGGCTTCTGGGTCGGGTGGGGACTTGGAGAACTTTTGGGATTGTAAACGCACCAATCAGAACTCTGTCTAGCTCAAAGTTTGTAAATGCACCAATCAGCACTCTGTGTCTAGCTCACGGTTTGTAAATGCACCATTCAGTGCTCTGTGTCTAGCTAATCTAGTGGGGACTTGGAGAACTTTGGTGTCTAGCTAAAGGATCATAAATGCACCAATCAGCACTTTGTGTCTAGCTCAAGGTTCATAAATGCACCAATTAGCACCCTGTCAAAATGGACCAATCAGCTCTCTGTAAAACAGACCAATCAGCCCTCTGTAAAATGGACCAATCAGTAGGATGTGGGTGGGGCCAGATAAAGGAATAAAAGCAGGCCACCCAAGCCAGGTGCGCAACCTGGTTGGGTACCTTTCCATGTTGTGGAAGATTTGTTCTTTCCTTCTTCACAATAAATCTTGCAACTGCTGCTGCTGCTCACTGTTTGGGTCCCTGTGGCTCTTATGAGCTGTAACACTCTCTGCGAAGGTCTGCAGCTTCACTCCTGAAGCCAGCGAGACCACAAACCCACCGGGAGGGACGAACAACTCCAGATGGAAGGAACGAAAACCTCCAGACGCGCCGCCTTTAAGAGCTGTAACACCGTGAAGGTCTGCAGCTTCACTCCTGAAGCCAGCGAGACCACGAACCCACTAGAAGGAAGAAACTCCGGACACGTCCGAACATCAGAAGGAACAAACTCTGGACACATCATCTTTAAGAACTGTAACACTCACCGCGAGGGTCCACGGCTTCATTCCTGAAGTCAGCAAGACCAAGAACCCACGAATTCCGGACACAGCATCACACTTCCTGATTTCAAAATCTATTACACAGCTACAGTAATCAAATCAGTATGGATCTGGCATAATGACAGACCTGTAAACATATAGACCAATGGAACCAAATAGCCCAGAAATAAATACACACATCTATGGTCAACTGATTTTTCGGCAAGAATGCCACGAATACACAATGGGGAAAGAATAGTCTCTTCAATAAATAAAAGTGAGAATCTGTAACTGCTGATGGAGAATGCTTGTCTCATCTCCAGCCTGTGATGTAGTGTAAGGATGAGGGCCCCGTGACCTGGGAAGCTTGGGATTCTGTGGATGACTGAAGAAGTTTTTCACGAGAGGCATTGAAAAATCCATTAATTCTTTTTTTTTTTTTTTTTTTTTGAGACAGAGTCTTGCTTTGTCACCCCAGGTAGAGTGCAGAGGTGTGATCTCAGCTCACTGCAACCTCTGCCTCCTGGGTTCAAACAATTATCCCTGCCTCAGCCTCCTGAGTAGCTGGGATTACAGGCACGCGCCACCATGCCAGGCTAATTTTTGTTTTTGTTTTTTTTTGTAGAGATGGGGTTTCACCATTTGGCCAGGCTGGTCTTGAACTCCTGACCACAGGTGATCTGCCCACCTCGGCCTCCCAAAGTGCTGGGATTACAAGCATGTGCCACCGTACCCTGCTGAAAGATTATTTCTAACAGGCTTGTAGAGAAACGTCGGTTCATGTAAATTAGAAATTATGGGGCCACTTTGCCATTCTTCACACCTGCAATGAACAGGTGTTTATCTGCAGTTCTGACTTATCTCTTGAACTCCATTTGCATGTTATAGTGGGATGCAGCTGATGCCCTGTCCAGATCTTCTTCAGGCCACTACATCTATATATGCATTCATATTCCAGTGGCTGTGAGTGTTGGCTGTTGGTTGACAGAGGAGCTGCATCCTCCTGGAGGAAACTGAACTCAGCTGATGAAAGCCACCTGGTCCTGGAGGTGAAGCATCTTCCAAATGACAGCCTGCAGTCAATGACTGATGAATATGACTTCATTGCCTCATGACAGGACCTACTCTGGGGTATAGATCATGCTTCTAAGCTCCTCCTGGGGTCCTGCTGAGGCTCAATGCCAGCTGAAACCATACCCTTGCTCACATACTTTCCCTTCTCTTTCCTTCTTCCCTTGCTTCCTTAGAGATTCCTCCTGCAATGGCTTCCTCAAAAAAGCATTTTCATAAGCAACCTCATGTCAGCCTCTGCTTCCACAGAAGCCAATCTGAGTTAAGCAGCTGTTTAACTTAGCATGTCCAACATAAAATTCTTGTTTTCTTCTCATCCCCTGCCCCTGAACGTTCTCCTTTGCCTGTCTTTCTTATCTCATTGAAAGTAACAACACAAGTATCAAGTGAAAATAAAAGAATCTTCTCTGATTTCTTTCTTTCTAATGTATTATTAAATTCTACTGATATTACCAATATCTATTCAAATACCAACCTAGTCTAAGATACTATCATCTGTCTTCTAGACTTCAACTGGGTTCCTAACACTGATGGTATTACACAATTTTTGCAATGAAGTCTTACCCACCTATAATCCATTTTCCATAAAGCAGCATTATCATTTTCTAAGTCACACACTGTAGTTTTAATACAATCCCAAACTAACAAGCTTGAAGAAATAAAATTATTGTTAAAATTGTAAAAATTACGGAGTCTTATATTTAACTAATCATGGTACCTTTCCTCAATATCAATTATACCAAACACTTCCAATGCATAAATTCACTAAATTACTTGTCTCTGAATAGTAATAATTATTGTAAAACTCAATTAAAATGGTGTTTCTATCTAAGTCATTTCCAAATGACGAGTTGATGGGTGCAGCAAACCAACATGGAACATGTATACCTATGTAACAAACCTGCACGTTGTGCACATGTACACCAGAACTTAAAGTATAATAATAAAAAATAAAGTATTACAGAACATGGTCAATTATATTAAAAAGTAGATTAATTAATGTCCATATATACATTTTTTGGTGGAAATCAAACATAATGAAAACTATTTCACATAATTAATATTTTGTTTATTTTTTACTTATTAATTTATTGCAGAGATGGGAGTCTTGCTATGTTGCCCAGGCTAGTCTCAAACTCCTGGCCTCAAGTAATCCTCCCACCTCAATCCCCCAAAATGCTGGGATTTCAGGAACATGCCACTGCACTTTATTAGTGTTACCTGTCATAAAGTTAATTACTCATAATTTTATTTCAGTATATATATATATACACACACACACCATACACACCATAGTAGAATAAATTAATTATATTTTCTACAAAAATTATTTTCAATCTTTTTTGTTACAATGAGTATCATTTTCACATCTTATCTCAAAATGTCCTGAGAGGATACAGTGCCATGCAATTTGTTTTCTTTGCAAAAATCTGTTCATGTATCTAACAACTAAATTATTTTACAAAAAATCATTTACACTAAGATAATCACATAGTTAAATATATGAAAGTAAAATTTTCAGAAATGCACTGGCAATGTATTAATGATGTTTTGGTGGAAATGGTTCAGATAACTGAAACCTATTGATAAGATAGCTATGCCACATTTAAAGCAAAGAAACCCCAAAAACAGATGAAATATAAGTCAAAGGGCAAGCTCTGTTTTTCTTCCTATTGCTTTGTGTGGGGTCATTTAATCATGGTTCTAATCACTACAATCAAAAATGTACATGACATCACAAAAAGTCTGCATTAATCCTTCCAGACACAGTATCAGATAATGTGCTTAAAAGAAAAAAAAAAAAGCCCTGCCAGCTACTTCCTGTGGCAAACACGCACAGTGCTCTGCTTATCAAACAGCTCCTTTAACGAGAGAACACTCCTAGTTTTATTAAATCCCTTTTAGAGCATCATCTTTTATTGGACTTTGTCTTTTGTCAGTGGCTGTCACTAGTGAGCAAATCTCCAGAAGGTGAAGAGAATGATTAGGATGAGAATCTGACTTAGGGCAAAACTTTAGCTCTGAATGTAGAAGGGCTACTTTTGTGAATGTTATTTTCATTGAAAACGTAGCTATATATTTGTTTTATGTCTTAACTAAAAGCAAGGTTTTCTTTCCTAAAGCAATCCTTTATTTTAATTGTTAAGCCACAAGCTAGTTCTAGAATAAAGATTCTACTGATTATAATTATTCTAGATACTACATATTTCTCTGCATATCTCGGTTCGCATTTAACATATCCCAGTTGAAATTTCTTATCTTAATTTGATTATCAAAGTTATTGGTCACACCTATAGCCACAGAAAAGATAAGTGTTTTGGGGGAGCTTTACTGGACCACCTAGATGAATGAATGTGTTTCAACTTACAAGCTTGTCTTTTTGGGAGAATGAAAGAATGATGAGTTCTCAACATTTGAATTTGGAATATGCATGTGTTTTATTACGGTGTAGCAGGATGTGGCTGAATACCATCTTCTAGCCACACCCAGAAGGGCAATAGAACAAGTCCACTTTTGAATACTGTTCAATGTTACACTTAACAATACAAATCAAGTATTTCACTTTAAAAATTGATATAGAACAAGTATTTTTCATGTACAGAAAATTTCATGCAGGGGAAAACAACATTTTAGATAATAAGGTTGACAGACATTATTAACATAAAGGGATTCTCTGCTTTGCTGAAGGAACAACCTTGAAATTTCTAAAATCAGCGGTGATTTTTTCCCATTCAGTTATTGATATTGAAATGGATATTTAATCACAATGTTTTAGCACACATTTATGTTATAAAATGAAATATGTGTGCATAGTGTATTGAATTATAAGATCAGGACATTCTAGGACAGCATTACAACCTAGATATAAATTCTTCACTAGTATCTACTATTCTTAATTTTCCCTCAGTCTTGTCACTTTCCTGAAGGATAATCTTCTCTGTATTAATGTAATATTCTGTCCAATAGTACTTCAATTAGTAACTCTGAGGGCATTTTGATGGTGAGGGTAAGGATAAGCATTGAGATAAGGGCATGCCTTGCTAAAAGGAATTACTATAGAAAACTAACTGCAATTAAAAAACTTTGCAAGGCCACATTTGCAAGCCCTGGTATCCAAATAAAATCATATTACCTTAAGTGGAAAAGTAACTTAGAAATTATCTGTTCAACCAAGAAACAGAGAATACCCTGAGGGGGATTCATCTATTACTGTTTATTATATGGGCAGAATTCCATGAACTGCAACTGGAACAGGTAATGTTTGTAGAGAAGAGAAAATAACCAGTAGTCATTAAGCTCTTAGGGTTTAGAAATTAAACATTCCACACCATGATGGGAATGGAAACACTGAGTGACATATATTACAAATACCTAGCCATTTTCGTTCCCTAGAATATGCTTGCTATTATGTAATACTGAAAAGACAAAAATGACAACTAGGGAAATGGCATTTTTCAAGTCTGTTTATCACTGAAAGCACTCCCCGTGACTACGGTCATTATCAACTTTTTAAAATAAATAGTGGCTTGCAGTGCTAACTTGGCACAATAGGACTGACAGAGAAAATCCAGTGTTTTGGATGTCTGGAGCCATGGACGGCAGCAGAGTCCATCCTGTGCAGGCTAGAAAGTGTGAGAAGCCACCCACCACGCCCACTGGGATGCCCTTCTATGCTGGAAAATCATGTAAACTTAGCCTTGCCTTTTGTAGACATGAGGGATCCAGATACCTTAATGTGAAGATTTTCAACTGAGTTCCAGGTTATAACCCATAAAACATGAATTCTCTCTACCATAAAAATGAAAGTAATTTATTTGCTGATGCAGAATGGTAGGTATTGGAACTAAATTCAGATTAGATTAGAAAGAACTTCTATAGTTCTTTTCATTGCATTTACACAGATACACACACAGACACACACATATAAGAGCATGTGCACACACATACCAGTCTTGCAAGGAACAGAACTTTTGAATATTAAAAACAACATTAGAAGTTATGTATGAGGTAATTTAAATTCAGTTCAATAGGGAAATATTTTGACTTCAGCTAAAAAAGAATGTGATAAAGGATCTCGATGCCTGATATTGAAATTCAGTGTCTACACCTTATGAAGTAACTGGTTGGCTCTTTAAAAATATTTTGTTTGAATAGATCAACTTAATAATCATTCTTAATGTAAAATTTTATGCATTGTCTAGAAAATTTCAGCACCTCAACATCCCAACTTAATCTTCTTTCACCAAATTATTATCTACTTGCTTTGTATATATATACTTTATTTATTACATTACCTAACACTAGTTACATAATAGTAGTATTATTAATTGTAAATTTATTAGTTTTACCATGGAATTTTTAGCCACTTGATGTCAGACTTTTTAATCTTATTTAGATACACAAGTAGCATCAAGACTTGGTTTATAGAATTTTCCTCAACAAAATGTTTTGTTGAATGTCCCCTACTTCATCCTAGCAAAAGTTCAAGTGTATACTTTTATTGTCTCTCAAATATTTATATTAAAATCTTTTTGAGTAGGGCTGGGCGTGGTGGTTCACGCCTGTAATCCCAGCACTTTGGGAGGCCAAGGCAGGTGGATCACGAGGTCAAGAGATTGAGACCATCCTGGCCAACATGGTGAAACCCCGTCTCTACAAAAAATACAAAAATTAGCTGGGCACATTGGTGCACGCCTGTAGTCCCAGCTACTGAGGATGCTGAGGCAGGAGAATGGCTTGAACTCGGGAGGCGGAGGTTGCAGTGAGCCAAGATTGTGCCACTGTACTCCAGCCTGGCTACAGAGCGAGACTCTGTCAAAAAAAAAAAAAAATCCTTTTGAGTATCAAGTAGTAGGGCAAAAATGGAAAATGCACAGATTTAAAATCAGGATTAGTAGCTACATTGCTATTTGCTAGGTGTGTAATCCTCAAAATTAATTTAATCTATTTAGGTCTCATTTTCTCATCCATAAACTGGGTATAATGATACTAATATATTTTCCTGTGAGAACTTGGCAATATATTACATATAAAGCTGTTAAAACATTTTTATTTATCATGTTGCTATATGAGGTAACTCATTCAATTTTGCTTGTTTTAGTCATTATACACTTTTCCAATTACTTAATTGATCACTTCTTTCCTGAAATACAGTAAACATCATATACTGAGAAAACTGGGACTGCAAAGTGCCTATTAAAATGTCATATGTTAACCAAATGTTGTCATATGAGACAAAATTTTGCCATGTTGCCCAGGCTGGTCTCAAACTCCTGAGCTCAAGTGATCCACCCACCTCAGCCTCTAAAAATGCTGGGTTTACAGGCATGACCCACCATGCCCGGCCTCAACTAATTTTCTAACTAAAATATTTCTCAAATTACTAATCAAAGGACTTAATCACAATTTGTTCAAGAATGAATATACATGTTTTATACATGTGTGTTGGTGTGTGTGCATGTGTATAAATACAGTCTTCAGGACTGTTTAGTACAGGCAGAATGAAGTGAAAAATAGGACAATTATTATGGTCCTAAAACTCTATACTTTTTTTTTTTCTATTTTCTCATTAAAATGCCAAGGATAGGAAAGATGTCTCAACCCAGATTCCAAGTTCCCAACTGCATAGGAAAGATGTCTCAACCCAAATTCCAAGTTCCCAATTTTGTATCCCATTCAAATACCAACATCTAAAACTTTGCATCTAAAGTACATTCTGAACAGAGACATACACACATTCTCTCTCCATGTGAACCTCACTATTCTGAAACATACACATTTGAAAATAAATGAAAAATATCTTTGGTTCTTTGAACTGTGGCAACTAAGTCCATTTTTTTCATGTCCTATAAATGAATCCTATTAAACTGCTGAAATGGTATACAGTATTTACATGCATTTAAATTCACTATAAATATTTACAGAACTTCAAGATGAATGCCAGTAATATAAGCAAAATATGTCTGACCACAGTTACTTTTCATGAGTAAATGGGTTCTGCCAAATGGCTTTTTCCCTAAAAACTAAGTTTTTTGAATTTTGTTCAGATAATAGCAATAAAGAGACAATCACTCTCTACAACAGTTCCTAGGAAGTTGAAGAAAACTGCAGATTTTAAGGGAGATTCACTGTTAGGTGTGTTGGCTTCATGCCTCTTGATGGCATTCTTTAGTGTGTATGAATTTTGTTTAATGGGGAGAGAAATTGACCATAGGAACTAATACGAGGGTGCCAACAGAGTTACAAAATGGAAGATTCTATAAGTAGAATTGGGAGGCTGGTGATTCAAATGACATCTTTAGCAAAAATCCCTGGGAAATAAACCATTTTCAATAGTTTGCTAGAAATTATTTTGATTGTAATACGTTTCTAGCAGTGACACAGCAAATTTTTAGAGCTTGCAATGTGATATGAACAGCAATAAATCACCAATACATGGCCGATGGCCTCTTCTAGGCAGATCCGTCTACAACTGGTAACAGCAACCATATCGAGTTTCTCTTTATCACAATACCACGAGGCTTATCATCATTGCCATGCCTTTAGTAACATCACTTTTTTAAATGGGCATTTTCACAATGTAATCTGCAACCTACATATAACATGCACTCTTTATTGAAGGCCGTACTTACAGTTTGACTTTGAGTCAGCTCAGCATTCTAAATCAAACGCAAACAGCAGAATCATATGGCATAGACACTTAGCAAATCTGCAAGGAAGAATAAAGACAAAGTTGTAAAAACAATATTTTTTTAAAAGCTTATTGTATGCATAATTTATAATTCATGGGACTTAGTCTTTGGGAGAGAATACACACGCAGATTTATGTAGCTACAGATTGAATGTAAATTCAATACCCAGTCCCTTAAGGAGCTGAGATTGTTTGTCTCCTAACCACAGAAGTTTTGTATTCTAGTTATTTTCCAGCACTAACTAAATACGCGAACTTGGAAAAGTCACACTGAATATCTGGGACGGAATTTCCTGATCTTAATAGTCAGAAATATACCTAAACTATTCCTAGGGTCCCTTCCAGTTTAATGGTGGATATTAATTATTTGAAAACATTTTAGAGAACCTTAACTGAAGAAAGAACTAAGGGCATCTTCTGATTGGTAGACTCTCCTGTTACAAGAGATGTTCAATGTATTTTGGAAGACAAGAAAGTTTACCATTTTGTTTCCAAGACAAAACTGTGTGCTTTGCACTATGCTGAGCACGTTGTCAATATTTACCAAATTTAAATGAATGAAAAAAATCTATATTATAACTGACATGAGGAATCTTCACATAATACTTCTTGCTAATTTGAAAAATGAGACATTGGTTTAGAAAAAATCAAAGAGCTTATATATAAATTAAAATTCTAAAATCACCTTGTGGTTTTAATATATTATCTATAAATGTATAACTTTGTACAGAAAAAAAGTGTTTTCCGAAGAATTTTTAAAACTTAATTTAAAAAAATGATGATCAACCTACCAAACACAAACTAAGAGTAAATGAAACAAGTGGCAAGTAGCCTATAGAAATATTTGAAGAAATATGTATTTGGCCATCCTTCCGTCTACCAGTTAAACATTTGCTTTTCCTCATCAATAGAAATGATCAGATTCTAAGCAAATACATGCAACTGAAACAAACATGTGGGTTGTTTTGCACATCCAGAAATAATATCGTATACTCATTAAAACAATCAGGTTTTTTGGGGGGAATTTTAATTTCATCATCATAGTTATATCCTCTGTAAAACAGATCCAGAAGTTTAGAAACACACCTTGATTTATATGTGTTTGATATTTGACCAATCAGCAGAAACTCAAAGAATTTACAGGCTGAAAAGACACCAAATTTTCCCGTTGTACTTCATAGATAAGGAACCCAGGGCACTGCAGTGTTTGTTTTCCCAAAATAGCAGAATTAGTTAATGGCAGAGCTGTTACCAGAAAAGAGTTCCGATTGGATCCTGTGTGTTCGGATGCTTATTTATTTACCATGTTTGTGAATAAACCATGCAAACCGTGGCAGAAGTGAGGATGTTAGCATTTATAAATCTACAAGAAGAGTATCCACTTAGAAGAAATAGCTAGGAGAAGGTCCCTACAGGGGGAGCTTGCTTGACATGATCAAGAAAGTCTTCATAGTTGGAATGCAGTGAAGGAAGAAGAGCAACCCGAAGATGGGTTTAGACATACAAGGCAGAACAGCTCCCGCAGGGCCTGATAGGCCACAGCAAGGACTCTGGCTTTTACTCCAAGGCGCACAGGGAGCCACGGCAGGGTTTTGGGCAGAAGAGGCACTTGATCAAGACTTAAGGTTTTGGGCAGGAATTTAAAATTATTTTCTATAAAGGGCCAGATGTTAAGAGTTAGGCTTTGTGGTCCACGGGTTCTCTGTTGAAACGCCTCCGGTCTGCCACAGTTACATTAAAGCAACTATAGATGATGCATAAATGAATGAGTGTGGCTGTGTTCTAATAAAACTTTATTTACAAAAGCGGCTGCGGGCCAGATTTGCCCCATGGGCTGTTGTTTACTAACCCCTTGTTGAAGGACTCACGCTGGCTGCTGTGTTGAGAATGGACTCTGGGTAAGCGGCAGTGGAAGCAAGGAGGCCAGTCAGGATAAGAGATGATGCTATGTGCATGTTTTCCCACCTAGTGCATTTCTGAGGGAGTCTCCTCAATTACAGAGAGGTTTTAATGGTAGGGGTAAAAGAGAGGAGAGGAGGGAAGGGAAGGGAATAAGAGAAGACGCTGCTTAAGGAAAAAGAAGGAACAAGAATGTGATGAGGATGCTTTCCTTCCTTCCTTCTTTCCTTCCTTCCTTCCTTCCTTCCTTCCTTCCTTCCTTCCTTCCTTCCTCTCTTTCTCTTTCTCTCTCTCTCTGTCTCTTTCTTTCTTTCTTTCTGACGGAGTTTCACTCTTTCGCCCAGGCTGGAGTGCACTGGCGCTATCGCGGCTCACTGCAACCTCTGCCTTCTGGTTTCAAGCGATTCTCCTGCCTCACCCTCTCGAGTAGCTGGGATGACAGGCACCTGCCACCACGGCCGGCTAATTTTGTATTTTTGCTAGAGACAGGGTTTCTCCATGTTGGTCGGGCTGGTCTCGAACTCCCGACCTCGGGTGATCCACCCACCTCGGCCTCCCAAAGTGCTGGGATTACAGGTGTAAGCCACTGCGCCTGGCCCATCATTTCTTTTTATATGGCAAATAAATGAAAATAAAATACTGAAACCCCTCCCTCCTTGAAATATTATAATAGTAATTTGATTAAATTAAAAGTTGTTCACATCATGGTAGGTAGGGGATTTGGATATGGTGACTTTTAAAAGTACATTTTATATGAGGAGAAAATAGAAATATATACAAAAAAGAGATCACTTCCAGACCATAAACAGCTCCATACTCAAGTATCTGGACTTGATTCCAAGGTGGTGCAGAAGTCTGCAAAGTGGTCATTCAGCTATGAGGTACAACACTCTTACTTCCCTTTTCTTTCCAAGAAAGGAAGTTTTTAGAGAACAAAAACTTTTCTCTGTCACAAAATAAATTATCTGCTTGTCAAATGACACTTCCAGTGTACCACAGCCATCAACAACACTTTTAATTTGGTGATGTTTTAGTGTAAATTCACAGTAGCAAATATACAATATTTTGAAGTATGCTACTGTAATGATAAAATAATTACAACATGGGACAATGATTATTTAAGATAGTTTAAAATTAAGATAATGAAAATATTAAATCGTACAAACAACATTAATTGAAACTTTATTTATTCTCAATTAATGATTGATTTTCTTCCGATTACAAAAATGATATATGCTCACTGTTAAAAAAAACTGTGAAAATAAATATAAGCATAAAAGGAAATACATTCCCCTGAGTCTGTATCATGGGATGTTAATCAATTTTAACATTGGCCACTTTTATGCATATTATGTGTACACATAGATTTACAGTCTTACGTTGAATTATATCACAAATAGGATGTTTATATGTGTTTTCTTCTCACTGTTACATTTTTGCAATCATTTTTCTTATATTTCAATATTGTATCTCATCCCAATGAATTGTATTTGGCAATGATGTTCAAGTCCAAATTTAGCACATAAAAAACAACTCACAAGTTGCATTACTGTGTTTTCTCACAATTAAAAAAAGGAATGAGGCCTGGCGCGGTGGCTCATGCCTGTAATCCCAGCACTTTGGGTGTCCGAGGCGGGCGGATCACCTGAGCTCAGGAGTTTGAGACCACCTGGGCAACATGGTGAAACCCCATCTCTACTAAAATACAAAATATTAGCCTGGCATGGTGGTGCATATTTGTAATCTCAGCTACGTGGGAGGCTGAGGCACGAGAATTGCTTGAGCCCTGGAGGCAGAGGTTGCAGTGAGCCAACATCGTGCCACTGCACTCCAGCTTGGGCTACAGAGTGAGACTGCATCTCAAAAAAAAAAAAAAAAAAAGAGTTCAAAAGGAGCAGAGGAAAGCAAATCTTAATGAGATGAGTAATGAAATAGCAAGCTTGCTGTTCATCAGAGATTGACGATCTCGCAGGCAGGTCCACTTAGCCTATGAAGATCAGGAGTTCTCTCTACCTTTGAATTTGCTCTGCTGAGCATCCACTTCTATAGTAGTCAGCTTCTTATTAATCCTGACTCATTCCTTCTATTCATACTGCAAACAACTGACTTCCTGGTAATTTTACTGTACTAATTTGAAATGAGCGGTAAACTAGATGTGAACTAGCTTAAAACTTATCTTTGGAGAATCTATTTGGAAAGCTGGTTAATCATGTCAACAGTAAAAGTTCAAATTGGAAGGCAAAGATTTAGGCACTTCCAAAAAAAAAACCCAATAAGCTTTCAAGAATTAAAAAATACTTAAGCAACAATAGCTATCTGATGAAGCTGCTAATTACACACTATCCTTATTTACAGATGTCATCAGGTTTAGTGGACCACGTAGCAATGCTTCGCTATTAGTTTTGTGCTACTTTGTGCATTAAGAGGTAACATTTTATTTTTGGTGACTTTCTAGTTTTTATATGTATTATTATTAAATATTTTTTAAGCGCTTGGACATAACCTACTATTTCTCAATGGTGGGAAACAAAGATTATAAAAGCGACTATAGGGTGTTTCAGTTTCAGACAATTTATTATTTATCAATGATAATACTTTAATTACTACCAAGAATAATTTAAGTGACTAAATTTTCAGATGTGATTTTGTTTCATCAGTGTGACTTATTCGTGTAGAATTAAGGCAGTTCTAAGAAAATGTTTTGAGAAACTAATGAGAAACTTAAATTTTACCCAATGTTGAACTTTTGCATGTGAGGTTTTTTTGTTTTGTTTTGTTTTGTTTTTTGTTTTTTTGTTTTTAGTACTGGGATACACATGCAGGTTTGTTATATAAGTACACATGTGCTATGGTGGTTTGCTGCACCTATAAACCCATCATCTAGGTTTTCAGCCATGCATGCATTAGGTATTTGTCCTAATTCTCTCCCTCCCCTTCCCCCCCAACTCCCTGACAGGCCCCAGTGTGTGTTGTTCCCCTCCCTATGTCCATGCGTTCTCATTGTTCAACTCTCACTTATAAGTGAGGACGTGTGGTGTTTGATTTTCTATTCCTGTGTTAGTTTGCTGAGGATGATGGCTTCCTGCTTAATCTATGTCTCTGCAAAGGACATGATCTCATTATTTTTTATGGCTGCATAGTATTCCATGCTGCATATGTACCACATTTTCTGTATCCAGTCTATCAGTGATGGGCATTTGGGTGGGTTCCATGTCTTTGCTATTGTAAATAGTGCTGCAATGAACACACATGTGAATGTATGTGTCTTTAGAGTAGAATGATTTATATTCCTTTGGGTATATACCCAGTAATGGGATTGCTGGGTCAAATGTTATTTCTGGTTCTAGATCCTTGAGGAATTGCCACACTGTCTTCCACAATAGTTGAACTAATTTACATTCTCACCAACAGTGTAAAGCGTTCCTATTTCTCCACAGCCTCGCCAGCATCTATTGTTTCCTTACTTTTTAAAAATTGCCATTCTGACTAGCATGAGATGGTATCTCATTGTGGTTTTGATTTGCATTTCTCTAATGATCAGTGATGTTGAGCTTTTTTTATATGTTTGTTAGCCGCATAAATGTCTTCTTTTGAGAAGTGTCTGTTCATATCCTTTGCTCACTTTTTGATGGGGTTGTTTGTTTTTTTCTTGTAAATTTGTTTAAGTTTCTTGTAGATTCTGGATATTAGACCTTTGTCAGACAAGCAGATTGCAAAAATTTTATCCCATTCTGTAGGTTGCCTGTTCACTCTGATGATAGTTTTGGCTCTATTCCTGGGATGCAAGGCTGGTTCAACATATGCAGATCAATAAACGTAAATCCATCACATAAACAGAACCAATGACAAAAATTGTATGATTATCTCAATAGGCGCAGAAAAGGCCTTTGATAAAATTCAACATCACTTCATGTTAAAAACTCTCAATAAACTAGGTATTGCTGGAACGTATCTCAAAATAATAAGAAATATTTATGACAAACCCATAGCCAATATCATAGTGAATGGGCTAAAGTTGGAAGCATTCGCTTTGAAAACCAGCACAAGACAAATATGCCCTCTCTCACCACTCCTATTCAACATAGGGAAATCGGGCAAGAGAAAGAAATAAAGGGTATTCAAATAGGAAGAGAGGAAGTCAAATTGTCTCTGCAGATGACATGATTCTATATTTTGAAAATCCCATCATTTCAACCCACAAACTCCTTAAGCTGATAAGCAACTTTGCAAAGTCTCAGGATACAAAACTAATGTGCAAAAAGCACATGAGCTTTTCTACAACATAACAAATCAGGTGGAATTATAGTTTTGGTGGATTTCTAAAGTTTTGTTTAACTTTTATTTTAAGTTCAGGGGTACATGTGCAGGGTAGTTGCATAGGTAAACTTGTGTCATGGAGGTTGTTGTACAGATTATTTCTATATTATATTTTATATCTCCAAGCTGCATTGTCCCCACTTCCATCCTGTGTGGTCAATAAACTAACTGAAAGCATCATGATTTTTAACTGAGCTATAGATTTCCATTAAGGAAAGAGCCCAACATTTAGAAATCTGAATTTATTTACAGTAAATAACGCAATCTTATATGTAATCCATGGTACTTTATCACTACCTGGGACATTTTCCTGTTCTAGTTCTCATTTATATCTTCTTTTTTTTTTTTCTTTTAGGGCAGTGTGTGTGTGTGTGTGTGTGTGTGTGTGTTGCTACTAAAAAAAAAATAAAAAGTGGAGTCCTCAGGGAATATGTCACCCTTGTATGCATGCCCAACCCCACTGAATGTTGCTATAATCCCAGCTTTACATTCAGCACCCTGAGCCCCAACTTGTAACCTCATCCCACTCTGGAAGCTTCTCCCTGAGCCACAGCTATTATACATTTAAGTTCATAAATACTGGCTCTAGGAGTTTTTCTGCATGTTAAATTAATCTTACATTAGGCATTTTGTTATGTAAAGATCCATTTCTGTCATTTAATTCCTTACAACTTTAGCTCTGTCATCCTTAAACTATGAATAATTTCTAACTCATATGGATACTCTAAAAACATGATGACAAGGGGTTGGAGGAGCAAAGCAAGTGCCTCTCACTAGGTAGTGCATAAAGAGTACTTGTTTCATGCCACAGGGGAGAGGTAAATTTTTGTACCAAATGATTGCAGATCTTTTCTTATCTATATATCTGTCTATTTTTCTATCATCTATCTTTTTCTATTATCTATCTATCTATCTATCTATCTATCTATCTATCTATCTATCTATTTTTGTTATCCTTAAGGTGGACAAATTAAAGTCAGCCTGAGATGTAAGTGCCCTGAATGTAGGATGGGTTCTTCCCTACATGCCCCATCCACTCCCCGATCACCACCTTAAAGACTTGTCCCTATGCTGAACACATTTTCTCACCTCCTTATTCAGCTGCTGATGACCCACCCAGAGACCTAGTCAGCATCAGTTAGGAACCAAATGTCTTCCACTGATAGAGTCCACAATCTTACGTAGAGACCATAGCATAGAGGCATGACCAAAATGCCTACACTTGCTGCCAAATCTGGCCAATAGGGAGATTTGTCTCTTCCATCTTGATTCAGAAAAATGTCCTTCTCATACAAATATGGTTCTGCAAAAAGACCCATGTTACTTAGTCCTTTACCTTTATCCTAAACCACAGTATGTGTTTATTTATGTGTGTTGGTTCTTCCTAATGATAAATGAAACCTAAAATTAAATTAACCTAACATAAAAAAGTTTTGAAAACTAAAATTATGTGGGTATCCCACTGTTTACTTAGTAATGCTGTGTGGGGAAAAGTATGTAAATCATCAAAAATTAAAGGCCTTTATTACACAATAAATAATCTTTTAGGAATGTGAGTGACTGACCTATTTACTTACCTTGTAAATTTTAATTTTGTGAATTACCTTGAATGATGTAACTGTACATGTTTCAAAATGCAAACAAAATGATTAACCGAAGAAATCTCTAAGATAAAGTTAGTACATTCTTTCAATTTCTTATACTTAAATACTTTCACATTTGCAGAAAGGAGCTTATGGCCCTCATATCTTAAATATTTTTTATTTCAAAAAGAGAATATACACAAAGTGAACACTCTTTAAAATGATAGAAAAGTTGATACACTATAGGTCTCCACTGTGCCCTATAGTGTACCTAAACATGATGGATACATTATTTTGGGATGTTAACCTCAACTTAATGTAGCACAGTGGAAAGTGGGAGAACCTTACACAAGGTAATGTGAGAAAGGAAATCATTATAGAATTTGCTTTCTGAGTATTGGAGGAATTTCCTAGGTAGCACTCAAACCTAGAGTATCTTTTAAAACTTCTTCCCTCATTTCTGTAACTCATAAAAGAGTGAATTTTGTAGAGAACATTTTCAGGGGACATTGAAATGTTTGCACAGACCCTTCAGTAGCAAAATATAAACTAGGAAAACAAAAATAAGTACTTTAAAGACTGAACATTGAGCAATTCCAGAGAGAGAGAGCGAGAAAGCAAGTGAGAAAGAGACAAAGGAGTGATCTAGTCTTTGCATTAAACTTATTTATTTATTTACTTTAAATCATTCATCTAATATAAATAAGTGTGGATTCATTTAGAAGCAACACTGACCAGAGAAAGAGTAGCCTATCAGGGGAGATCTCTGATCCAGAAAGACAAGGTCAAATATTCCTGTGGATATGGCTCCCTGTTTTACTCCTCCTCCTGTTTGCCTTCACTCCTCCTCTTCTATAACCACTATCACAGTATCTGCTCTTCCTTTCCACTACCATCATCACCCCACCTGGAAGTACAATTTTTTTTTTCATGGAGGAGTTTTGTAGAGAAAAAAATTTTAAACTTTTCTATGAACCTATGGGTTTTACCTCACTCTTTATAAGAAAGAACACTGGTGGTTAAACCCCATGCAATGTTACCCGTGTGTGTGTGTGTGTGTGTGTGTGTGCGCGCGCGTGCACGCGTGCACACCCACATTTATTCACTGTTTGGAAGTTCATATATCCCAGGCCATTGTGTGTATTGAGTTTTTCTCAAGTAATTAATTATGGGCCTTTGGATGTCCTGAGTTTAAGGACAAACCTTAACCACTCCTAAATTGAAATAATTGAAGCAGGCTCCCACTAATAATTTCTACTCACTATTGCAATATCTGATTTAGGTAAGAAAAACTGCACTCTGAACATTCTGTTTGTTTTTGAGTGTAACAAAAATTTAAAATTATTTATATCAAAATTTGAAATTAAACCAACCAGTTGATAATTAACTTGAATGACCCCAACATCAATCTTCTATTAATTTTAAAGTAGGTGTATACTTTATATATATACTTTATACCTAAAATTAATATATACCTACCTATAAACAGCAATATTATATATACACATGTATTATAAATATGTGTACATATGTATATGTAATATATACAGTATTGCTAATACATAATATACATATATTGCTATTATATATATCATATTATATACATATCATATTGCTATTACATATCATAGCTATACATATCATATTGCTATTACATATCATATTGCTATTACATATCATATTGCTATTATATATACATACACAAATATAGCAATGCTATATATATATATGCTATATATATATAGTATTAATGATTTTCCATGCTTTATATTTAAATAAAACAGTAGTTACTAAAGCTTACCTCTAAAGATAATTTAAATAGAAACTGCTTATTTTGAAAATTGTCTTATTTATAGTTTTGCTTTGTTCCTTAAATAACAAGATTTTATTCCTCCTCCCACTTTCCCAATTTGTGTACTGAAAATCACAAGGAAAGAATTTTGCAAAGCACAAAATTTATTTCATGCTTTAAGGTTTAGACTTTGTTTAAAAAATCTAAAAAATTTATTTATTTTCTGAGACTTTAATCTTTTTGATAAGTAAAGTTCATGGAAAACCATGTAATTGGTATAGAACTTTTCACTTGAATTGAATCACATAATCCTTCTGTAGTAGAATACTTTTGCATCTTGCCTGGAGTAAATTAGTTTCTTTAGGTTAAAAAAAATCCTGGAATTATATTTTTCAATTTGAAATTCACTTAATATCAAAGTGACTATAATTAATTCTTTTACTGATGATCTGAAAAACGGTAATAAGAAATTACAAATAACATATCAAAGAAATTTCATAAAGTATACCTGATAAAAACATTTCAAGTGTGAGGTGCTTTATTTTTCCACACTAAATTTGATTTTATAATACATGAAAGGCATACAGTGAGTGCCATCTAGTGCATTAACTCATCATGCTAGCAATCTTATCAATTCATCACATGCCTGGCTTTTCAGAAGGCATTCTGTAAAGTCATACAATTTCTCAAGATCATTTAATTCAAGTTAATATTAAACAGTTGATTTAATTTTAGTTAAAGACTAATCTATTTACATGTTACAGTTTTTAAAGAGACTTCAAAAATCAGATAGATTATTATTTTCTTAACATTATTTTAATTGACTAGAATTTTCATTGAACATTATACGAGCATGACCTCCACATTAGCCCTGTGCATAAAACAGAAGAAATCGCTGCTTTAAAAATATCATTTGCTAGAACCGGTAAGTTCAGCACTCGTCTGTGCTAAGTTGGCAATTACATCTGGAGCAGCAATTCTCTTATGCAGGTATTTTCCCTTATATTTTAAAAAATATGAATATTTCTGCAGTCAAGGTTGATTTCCCTCATCATGTGCTAGTGTTATTAGTTTGAGAAAAAAAACAAGAATGATAAAGTTCCATATACTGTACTTAAATTAACCATGGGTACGCCCACACATCTTGTCTATTTAGTTCATTAAGAAACTCTTTGGTAGGTTGAAAGCCTGAGAAAATTTTGAGTCAGAAAATATGATGACTTGAAGAAAAGTCAAGTTGATTAATAATAGTAACTCAGCCCACAGAGATCTCTCCCCACAAAGCCTCGTCACAGAGAAAATTCAGCTTCAGCTGTTTTTCACCTGATAAGCAACCTAACCTCAAGGCAAATGGTGCAACTAGTAACTGATGGGCTCTCTCCATCTGCCATGTTCCCTTTCTCATGCTTTTCTTTGCTCTTAGCTTTTCCATGTTCTCTTTCACCTCCTTTCAACTACTGCTTCCTCCTCTTTTATTTCCTTTCTTTCTGCTTGTAGTAATGTAAAACCAGCAAAGGTGAGGAATGTCGGAAGTAATACATTCACTGACAGAGTGGCTTGCTGCCACATACATGTGGTGACAGATAAATTCACAAAGCAGATCACTGGAAGCACCTAGAATGCCCTCATTGGTAAGTATATCCTGAGCCAGACAAAATTATTCCTCCTAATTCATTTTGGTTTTGATTTCTAGTATTAATTCAAATTATCCTGCCAACTAACCTGTAGTGAAATTATTCAACCGATAGCCTGTTAGCCTTAGCGCAAACCCGAATTTATTCATCTGTTGAGTAAGTATTTATGTTATATGATGGGAACTCCATCAACCCTTGGGATATAGGGAACAACAAAGAGTAAAATGTCCCCATTCTTATGAAGCTTATAAGAAACAAATAATACTGATAATAATAATAAACAAGTGGACAATTTATGATAGTGTCAAGTACTATGAAGAAAAATGTAACACAGTGATTGGAATGAGAAAATTCTCGAAGGGCATGATATGCTTAAGAGTATTCTTAATGGGCAGGAGAATATTGAAAGGCATTTAGATGTGGAAGTATAAGAGTCCACAGAAGTTCAGATGATGTGTAGCCTTCTAGACAATGCAGAAAACTTTTCCATAATTCTACAAGCAATGCAATAGCATTGGAGGGTTTTAAATAATAAAATTACAAGTTCTAATTAATTTTTGCAATCTATCCATATGACAAAGGGCTAATAACCATAATCTACAAGGAACTTAAACAAATTTACAAGAAAAAAACAATCCCATCAAAAAGTGGGCAGAGGATATGAACAGACACTTCTCAAAAGAAGACATTTAGATGGCCAACAAACATATGAAAAAATTCTCATCATCACTGGTCATTAGAGAAGTGCAAATCAAAACCACAATGAGATACAATCTCACGCCAGTTAGAACAGCAATCATTAAAAAGTCAGGAAACAACAGATGCTGGAAAGAATGTGGAGAAATAAAAACACTTTTACACTGTTGATGGGAGTGTAAATTAGTTCAACAATTGTGGAAGACAGTGTGGCTATTCCTCAAGGATCTAGAACTAGAAATACCATTTGACCCACCCATCCCATTACTGGGTATATACCCAAAGGATTATAAATCATGCTACTATAAAGACCCATGCACACATATGTTTATTGCGGCACCATTCACAATAGCAAAGACTTGGAACCAACCCAAATGTCCATCAATGATAGACTAGATAAAGAAAATGTGACACATACACACCATGGAATACTATGCAGCCATAAAAAAGGATGGGTTCATGTCCTTTGCAGGGACATGGTTGAAGCTGGAAACCATCACTCTCAGCAAACTGACACAGGAACGGAAAAGCAAACACCACATGTTCTCACTCATAAGTGGGAGGTGAACAATGAGAACACATGGACACAAGAAGGGGAGCATCACACACTGGGGCCTATTTGGGAGTAGGAGGGTGCTAGGGAAGGGATAGTAGGTGACGGGTTGCTGGGTTCAGCAAACCACTATGGCAAGTGTATAACTATGTAACAAAACTGCACATTCTCTACATGTACCTCAGAACTTAAAGAATAATAATAATAATAATAAAGCAAATGACTTATAAGGCAAAGAAAAGTAGACAACCATCAGACTTTTTGGCAGCAAAAATTTATACCAAAAAAAGATGAAGAATATACTTAAGAACACAAGAGAAGAAAATGTGAACCAAGGATTTTATATCCTAAGAAAACTTTACACTCCTGGATAAAGGGCACAAACATAATTTTATCAATCCACAAGAACTCAGAGGATACTGGAGACAAATTTCAGACAGTCAAAATAATTGAAGAGCTATAGATGTAAGGGCAGGTGTATTTATCACAACTTGCTGCTACAATTCACAAAAAGAGAGACACACAGATATTGCATGTCTCCACATGAAAGAAAGAAAAATAGAAAACACCTATAGTCTTTGTAAAAGACAGAATTTGAATATGGTCAAGCCTTAGGAGGCAGTCACCTATTTGGAGGAGATACACAGGGCAAATGGACATAGTAAACTGTACCCATAGTGTTTGCTACAATACGGGTCATTCTCATTGCAATCCATACTACCAAACATTTTGCAGATTAAATGGCCTACAGCTAGTGAATTTATGAGGAAGAGGAAGGGATGGAGGAGAAACCTGAAGATTAAAAGAGAACTTTAAAAATACAATTGACAAGAAAAGTTAAAGTATTGAATCTAGGGATAAATACTTGGGTGATAAATCTATTAAAATGCAGGGAGGTGTTTCCTGTAAAAGTTGAGAAATAATCAGAAGGAGGCGTGGTGATAAGGATGGGGTCATCAGTGGGTATCTGGGGTGGCTGGCAAAGGTCTCTTTTCCGACCTGGCTTATGGTTACAAGGGTATTCGCCGTACCATTATACAATAAACGATATAGACGCTTTGGGAAGTTTTCTGTCTCTGTGTTGTATAATAAAAATACAAAAACAAATTTTATTTGATTTTTATTTTTCAGAACATACATGTAGAGTTAAAAATATTGAAAAATATTATCCAAGCATTAGTCATAATTATTATCACCATCATTTAAGACAAACAATTAAGGACAGTGATACTGTCAGAAGGAATTCAGAAATCATATCAGTAGCATAAACAGCTGCACAAAATTGTCAAAGAATGCTGGGTGATAGGTGTCATTTCTGTCTAAATCCAAACATACAAAAGAACTGCTAACATAATAACATATGTACTAACATAGTATCTCACTTCATTTCAGGAGTTCTCCTGTCTGTTAGTCTAAACCAAATTCAGTTAACTAAATTCAGTCAGACAATACACATTCTCACTGTTTACCTTAAGTTTCCTAATAATTTAACTAGCACTGGTTGTTAGTTTTTGTCCTCTGTCCTCATTTGTGGCTTTGGTTTTCATCTATGCTTTTTAAATAATGAATTGTGCTCTATTAAAAAAGTAATAGCAAAGAGATGAGAATTGCTTCTCAAGTGGTTCTGTGATTAACAGAGATCATTTGGTTATTATAAATCAAGAAAAGGATTGATACCAAGAATATTAATAGCTTGTAACCAAGTGGACCTTTAAAAATATGAGTTACTCATTTGTTTAAGCATTGTAGAGAGGAAAACTCCTGAGCATAAAGTCATTCAATTTTTGGTTTGTTCTAGCTCTTCTCCTAACTACCTGTATGATCTTCAGTAGATCTTGTTCCCACTTTTGGCTCAAATTTTCTTATTCTTTAAAATGGACATAATAATAATTTCATCAAGTTCTTATAAGATAAAATGAGATGTCATCCATATAGTCACCTATAAGTAACAAAATAACTCATAAATTACTTTCTTTAGTCACTTGAATGATTACATTAACCAGATTAAATATCACATTGAAAACAGACAAAACAAATATCATACTACTCTTTATATTCAAAGATCAATTTGATTTTTGAGTAATTTTCCACCATTTCAAAGATGCATTCAAAACATGTATACATCTGCAGTCATCCAATTTCATTTACCATTATATCTTAAGTGTTTTTTCATATCTGTGCACCATATTCACTGTACTCAAATATTGCATATTTATCCACTGATAAGCTTGGCCACATGTTTATTTTTTCTATTATGACTATCAATTATATCTATTTATCTAATATTCTAAATATCTTGTATTGAATACATTTATGTATATAGTTTTCTAAATACAATTTGAATTTTTCCTACATTTCCATAAATAGAATTGCTTCCCAAAATGATTGTTTCAATTTATAAAATGAGAGCATACAAGTATCATTTTAAGAACTTTAACTTTCTCTCCCTAACTTTGTTTAAAATTGTGTAGTGTCTTGCTGATAAAATATTTCTTCAAAATTAGTACAGAGATTAATCCCTACTGAGTTTGGCTGTGTGTCATCCAGACTCTGTGAGACAGAACTCATTGCCAATCAGAGGGACATGGTTGTGTTATTGTACTAATAGATACGGTCCCATCATTGAAGATGCTATTAAGCATCAAACAGATGTTTTCATCAACTTCCTAAATGGTACTAAAAAAGTATGATTTTGAAATACGTGAAAGAGCTACAGTTGATTAAAAACAAATATGATTTATGTATTTAAATACACATATAATTATCAGCTCAATCCAGATAGTCACGACTCTGTGATATACATGGTTTTTCAAATTGATGTCATGTGGGTTATTGATAGCCATTTGCAAGTGATGCCAATTCATCATTGAAAGGTACTTAGAATTTATGTCTGGTGGAACACAGAGCAGCTTCAATAGCATAAGTCACCTTCCTCCAAACTTAATGTTAAGATCAGGTTTAAGCAGCATCAGGTTATTCCTACTTGTAAGCTGTGGAAATAAGTATAATTCTCTATATTCTACTCACTGTATCATTTTTTAAATGTTGTCATTGTACATACAAAATAGAACTTCATCAGTTTAAAGAAACAACTTGTCACACTGAGATCAGAAATAAGTAAAATAAAAAACAAAACAGGCTATTTCTATTGACAGTTTCTATTTTCCCTATCAACTTGAGCCTCAGTCCAAGTCAAAAGCAAGTAATCTTTCACAGCAATGAATGGAAATTTCTCACTCACTCAGACACAGATTTACACATATTTTAAAGAGTATATGTGGGAAATAAGGATGTGGACAAATATATTTTTATGATATAAAATGGAGAATATTTTAAAAATAGAAATGATACCTTTAGATTTTTCTTTTTCCCCATCTCTCCTCTTTCTGCATTCTTGCTGGTATTGTTCTTCTCCATATACTTAAATCTAACTCTTTCCCTTCCATGCTTTCTCTACTTTTTTTTTCTTACATCCCCAAATACCTGTTTGAAATGACTCATTAGCACCATTAACATTAAATAGGCCAGGAACCATGACTCAATGCCTGTAATCTCAGCACTTTGGGAAGCTGAGACGGGAAGATCACTTGAGCCCAAGAACTCCAGACCAGCCTGGGTAACATAACAAGACCCCATCTCTACAAAAAATACAAAAATTAGCCAGGCATGGTAGCACGTGCCTGTAATCTCAGTTTCTCAGGAGGCTGAGGTGGGAGGATCACTTGAACATGAAAGGTGGAGGCTGTAGTGGGCAGTGATTGTGCCACTGCTCCCCAGTCTAAGTGACAGAGAAAAACTCTCTCAAAAAACAAAATAAAAGAAAACAAAACATTAAACAAACTAACTGAATTGGAGTCAGTGATTATTGCTCTTTGAAAGAAGGCCCTGGCTTGAAATAAATACCTATGAGACCTGGAAAAAAAATGGATTTTCTTCTACAATAAAAATATTTAAAGGCAAATAGCAAATAAGATAATACAATTTAGTTCATTCCCTTCTACAATGCAGCTCTCTCCTAAAGACAACAAGAGAAGAACTTTGATTGCAGAAGATTAAGTACATACTTTCACACACTTTACATAACACTTCACACCCCATCTCCCCACCCACACACACTCCATATTTACCAAAGTTTACCTGGGTAGCAAAGGGTTAATGTTTCTCATGTCTGTTTGTGTGCATTTTCTGGTTTCATTATTTGTTAAATGGAGTTCAGGCTCCTAAGGAGTACATTTTGTTAGTCCCATTCAACTTGAACTAGAATGCCACTAGTATGGTGATTCATTTCAGGGTTATCACTTCTTTTCTCAAGTTTATGAAAGCTGTGAACAGAAACATCAGGTGGAAGATTGCAATCTCAACGTGAGTGTCAGATATGTCTTTTCATAGCTTTCTTTCATGGCATATGCACAACCAGGCTATTATTAACGAGAATACCTGAAGGTACACCATCTCTCCATGACAAAACAACATTCTCTGCCCAGCTCTCTGCTTCCTAATCTCAAAAAAGACCCTCAAATGAGACTCTAAAATAATCCAACCTGAATAAATACTCAATCTTATAGTCTCCAGATACAACCAATCTAGATGTTGTTGTTACAAGGTAAATCTTCTCAACTTCACTAAAGATTAATAAAGTGTAATCTTTCTGTAGAAACTTTTCTCAACACTCTAAAAAAAAAGGCTAACTAGAAGGAACAGAAGAACAACATACACATGTAAAAACCATATTGAGGGACCAAATTAAAGATAATTATGATTGGAGTTGATGAATTTAAAAGTACCAGAGAAAATTGTATCAGGATTTTTGAATATCCTCTTTGAATGATAATTCTACTCGTTGCCAAAGTTATTGACAGAGTATTTTGTGTTGGGCATGGTGCCAGCTAGGCATTAGGAAGTGGAGAACAAAATAGATTTAGTTCTTATCACCTGGAGTTTACAAATTATAACTACTAGGAAGAAAAAAAGGCTGAGTACTCAGAAAATGTGTAAGATTGAGTGGTCCTGGAAGACACCCCTGAAGGTTGACCAGGAACTAAGTCAAGCAAAGAGCTGTGGGAAAACTCTTCTGAGCAGAGAGAATTCCAGGAACTAAAGAAAGTCCAGGTGTGGTTGAAGATAGACTCAGAAATAAAGAAAGCTGCTTGAGATCAGATTAGTGAAGGAGGGAGCTACCAGATCAAAAGAACTTGCAGAGAAGTGAGGAGACTTTGAAAGGTTTAGAAAGGGAAAGGACAAGTGCTTATTTACAGTGTTAAAGGATTAGTCTATTTGCTGGTGAGAAGGGATTTCAACAGAACAAGAATGGAAGCAGAGAAACATATTGAGAGACTCTTTTAGTCATCCAGGACACATTAATTTTGAAGTTAGTTGATAGAATTTAAGTGATAGAATGATGCAATAGGTGAGGGAGAGAGAGATGTCAAGAACAATGTTCTATTGCCTGGCCTGAGAGGATGGAGATGCCATATATATTTCCCCCAAACTATTTCTCATTCTTCTTTCCCAAACCTGTTTCATCCACAGCGTCCCCTATATCCACTGATGAAAACTCCATCCTTCCACTTTGTGCAGAGCAAAAGCCTTGGAAACATTGTTGACCCCTGTCTTTCTCTCATCTTCCCATGCAAAACACCAGGCAATCATATTGCATTTATTTTCAGAGTATGTCTACCATTGAACCATTAATTACCATCTTCACTGCTACCATCTGCTCTTCTTGATTGTCTCCTCTTGCCTGGATCCCTGCTGTAGTCTACTAATCTGTCTCCCTACTTTCATCTCCCCCATTATACTTTAATTCCAACAGATATCCCAGAATGAATCTTTTTAAATTATAAAAAAGATCATATCGGCCAGGCACGGTGGCTCATGCCTGTAATCCCAGCTCTTTGGGAGGCCAAGGTGGGCAGATCACAAGGTCAGGAGTTTGAGACCAGCCTGGCCAATATGGTGAAACCCTGTCTCTACTAAAAATACCAAAATGAGTCTGGCGTGGTGGTGTGTGCCTGTAGTCCCAGCTACTTGGGAGGCTGAGGCAGGAGAATTGCTTGAACCTGGGAGCTGGAGGTTGCAGTGAGCTGAGATCGCACCAATGTGCTCCAGTCTGGGTGACAGAGTGAGGCTTCATCTCAAAAAAAAAAAAAAAAAAATCATACGACTTCTGTGCTCAAAATATTCCACAACTATACCATTTCACTCACCATAAAAATCAAAGGCTTTTCAATGACCAAGACACTCTTATATATATTTATACTTTATAAAACATTTTGCTTAGAATATGTTAATCTTGAGATCTCCTGAACACTAAACAGAGATGTCAAGTAAAGAGATATTGAGATCAGAAGAGAGACCTAAACTGTCAGTATACATTTTGAGAAATTTTGAATATAAGAAATATGATCATGAGGACAATAAATGGCATCACCAAAGTGAGAAGATAAAATTAGATAAAAGACAAAAGCCTGAGCTGTGATATGCCAGGCAACTTTTAAAATAGTTTCCAATGATCCCCTGACTCCTGACATTTATACTTATGTGTAATTTCCTTCTCTCGAGTATCGTCTGGATTTATTGGCTTGCTTCCAACAAATAGAGTACAGCAAAGTGTTGGGATGTCACTTCTGAGATTAAGCTATAAAGCCCAACTTTCATCTTGCTTGTCCTTTCTTGTTGTCTGGTGTACTTCTCTTATTAGCTATCCCATGGAGGGAATCACATCACACAGAACTGGAGGGAGGCCTCCAGTCACCAACCTGTGAATATCTAATTTCTCAACCATGAAGATAATCTTGGAAGATGATTCTGTCCCTGTTGAACTTTCAGATGAGACTTCAGTCCCAACTGACAGAGGTTCCCACTGAGCTCCACCTGGATTTCCAACTCAGAGAGACTGTGGTGTAACAAATGTTTGCTGCTTTATGCTTCTGTTTCAGGACAACTTGAGCAGAAATACATAGTGTGCAGAAATAGATCACTAAATCACCTGAGGAACTCAAGTATTTAGAAAAGGAAAATATGATGGAGACTGAGAAGAACTGGTCATATTGGTAACTGGGAAGTCAGGAGAAGGTGTAATATGGGAAATCAGAAAGAAAGAATGTTTGGGCAAGGGAGTGATAGGAGCCAATGTAGGTATTGATGTACATTTTGTAGTGGAAGGATAAGGAGGTCCTGTCTTCTGACTTCTATCTATCTTTCTTTAAATAAAACGTAAAGCTAAAAGTTACCAGTATTTTGAAGTGGAATAGAAGAGGAGTTGGGAAAGAGGTGATTTGAATAATTTAACAAGAGATGAAAAGTGATAAAATATCTATTGAAGACAGTGGGTGATAAATTTTCCAGAAAAATGTGACAATATAATTGAAAGATGAGATATTTATTTAGTTCTGAGGTCTCTGAAAAGAAATGTTTTGAGTTAAACACTTATTACAACCCAATAAATGGAAATGTACAAAGTCAATGGAAGAGACCAACTTTATATAAGAGAATTACATGGCACAGTGGAAGTAGCTTTGACTGTAGCTTCACAAAGTCACAGAAATATTGTTCAATTAAATGATTCCATACATTTACTTCTCATAAAGGTATACATTGGGAAGTAATTCACAATGTATTCTCCTATAAACACCAATTAATGGTAACTATTATATTTGATTCACTCCATGTGATATCGTCTCCAAATTTTGAGGAATATGATTTGATTTCTAATTATTCAGACATTCTAAAATTTCCAACTTGAACTAGTACCCCCTTCCAACGATCCTTACTTAATAAATATTTTTGTCTTCCAAATTATTAACATTTCCCTTTCTAAGGGCTCCTTTTCTCCATCTTGCTATTAACAATTCTTTCCAAAAACAAGAATTCCAAAAGCAAGAATTTCCAAAAATAAGACAGAATAAAACAAAACCTTCCTCCATCCTTTTTACACTACTAAAAATTTTATTCAAAGAATTGACCACTCTTTCTGGCCAGGTGCAGTGGCTCACGCCTGTAATCCCAGCACTTTTTGAGGCTGAGGTGGATCACTTGAGGTCATAAATTCAAGACCAGCCTGGCCAACATAATGAAACCTCATCTCTACTAAAAATACAAAAATTAGCCGAGTGTGGTGCCATGTGCCTGTAATCCCAGATACTAGGGAGGCTGAGGCAGGAGAATCATTTGAACCTAGGAGGCGGAGGTTGCAGTGAGCCAAGATGGTGCCACTGCACTCCAGCCTGGGCGACAGAGCAAGACTCCATCTCAAAACAAACAAACAAACAAACAGCAACAACAAAACCCACAAATAATTGGCCACTCTTTCTAACTCTAATTCCCAACCTCTCCTTTGAGAATTGTTTCAGCACACTATAATCTGAATTCCCATTAAACTAGTTATTTAAAAATTCACTTGCAAATATCACTCATTACCTACTGGTTACCAAATCTAATGATGACTTTTTGGCTCTTAGCTGATTTCACATTCCCTGACAACAATTAGCTCCAGGAATCCCATCTAAGCTGCAGTTCTGATAATGTTGATTGGTGGTTCTAGGGACTTCTGTGAAAGATTGAGATCAAGGAGCTGAGTATGTTATGGGAAGTTGGGAAGTTTAGACTGGGCAATAAAGATAGTACAATTAAAAAATTCAATTTAAAATGGCTTGTTAGAGAGATAGATGCCAGATATTACTTGACAAGCCAGAAACTAGAGACACTAAGATAAAAACAAAATAAAACAAGAAATTAAGATTGATGGATAAAAATAATCTCTCAAAGATTTATTTGGATTTAATCTAAATTTAAGGTGCCATATATCTTTACTCGTGAAAGAAAATTGAATTTTTGAGGACACTAAGTAGTTTGAGAAATACCCTTCTTTAAAATCTTCTTCTTTACCTAAATGAACACTAGTGTCCTGGTTTTCTTCCTATCCACCTACTAATTCTTAGTCTCCTTCTTTCAGCACTTAAATATTCTTGTACCATAGGTGCTATTCCTGGACATCTCTCTTTGTACTCAGCACAGCATCTTCCTACTTCAACTCTTATCTTTTGGTTCTGACTTCCAATTCTTATCACTAATTCATTGCTGTTCAGACCCAGTTTATATAAATTCACTTCTGTGTCTACCAGTTCCTCAAAACGGAAACCATCATTCCTGAATCATCTTTTCATTTCTCCCTTTTCATGTATTTTGCATCTCAATGTGAGGCATCACGTAGTTAAACAAATACAAAATATGGGCTATATCCAGCACACGTACCCCACATGTAACTTTTTTTCAACTCTAACACCAAACTAATCAAATCTCCAATCTATCTCTCATGGTAATCTTCAGTGTCATAATGCAGGCCTCTATCACTTGACTTTTTATCTCCAATCCTTCTTCTCCCATTCTCTTAAACCCAAATGAGTGCACTTTTGATGGAAACAGACATTCATTGGGACTGTTCCAGACAAACTGAGCTGGGCATGTGTTATCACCCTACCAATGATTTCTTTGCTAAAAACAAGGCACATTTCCCATCTTTACTCAACCTCATAGAATCATTTCAAAAAGGTGATCACTTGCATCTCCTTGACATACTTTCTTCACTGGCTTCCAAGACAACTGCTTCTTCCAGTTTTTCTCCAACCTTACTGATTATTGGTTCTCAAACTCCATGTCTGGTTCCATCCTATCTCTTAGATTCAATGCTCCAAGTTTTGTTTCTTTTTGGTTCTCTTCTCTTCCTAGTCTTCACTTACATTTGTGGCAATCTCGTCCAGCTCTGTGACTTTAAATAGCATCTATATGCCTTCAAGTCTCAAATGTCTATTTCCATATCAGAAGTCTCTTCCAAGCTCCAGACTCGATATTTTCATTAGGATATCTAATGTCTAATGTGCACATTAAGCATAATATATCCAAAGTGGAACTTGCATTCTTCTTTCCCAAACCTGTTTCATCTACAGCCTCCCCTTATACCCACTGATGAAAACTCCATCTTTCCACTTTGTGCAGAGCAAAAGCCTTGGAAACGTTGTTGACCCCTTTCTTTCTCTCTCTTCTTACCCAAAACACCAGGCAATCATATTGCATTTATTTTCAGAATATGTCTACCATTGAACCACTAATTACCATCTTCACTGCTACCATCTGCTCTTCTCACTTGTCTCCTCTTGCCTGGATCCCTGCTGTAGTCTGCTAATCTGCCTCCCTACTCTCAATCTCCCCCACTGCACTTTAATTCCAACAGAGATCCCAGAATGACTCTTTTTAAATCATAAGAAAGATCATACCACTTCTATGCTCAAAATATTCCATAACCATTCCATTTCACTCAGTGTGAAAATCAAAGGCCTTCCAATGACCCAGACACTCTTACAAGATCAGGAGTCCGTTAACTTTCTGACCTCATTTCTTTTTCCTCTGTCCCGTTTTTAAAAGTTTCTCTTCAGCCACACAAACCTACTTGCTGTTTCTCAAATGCGTCAAATGTGTGACAGCCTTAGGACCACTCACTGTATTAGCTATTTTCCCAGATATCTAAAATTTAAAGTCTCTCATATCCTTCCTGTGTTTGTTTGGCTGTTCTTATTTTCCTAGTTTAATCATCTGATTTAAGAGTACAACTTTCCCTCTATTCCCAGAACTTGAACTCCCTTTATCCTGCACTATATTTTGTCCATTGTACTTATTCCTTCTAACAAATAATTTACTTATTTATTTTACTTATTGTTCCAGTACGTCTTACCCTGCTTGCATGTAAGTTTCACAAGTCAGAGATTTTTTTTAAGTTTTATTTCCAGATTTCTTGCCTGGTAGAGCACGGTCCTTGCTTCCGATAAATTTCTGCCATTATCCAATCAATTATTTCCACCTCTACCAGAGTGGTTTTCCCAAAAGATAACACTAAAAGATTTGAACAGGACAGGGATGTGACTATAGCTACCTCTTGGTTTCAGCATGAATTCTCAGATGGGCTTTGTTTTTTAAGCCAAGTATCTGACACTGTTTTATGGTCCTAAAAATATCTATTGCTCTAGAATTTTAAACACAGTCACTCTTTAAACAAAGAAGTAAAGCTTCAGTAGATCACGAAGAATATTTTGTATTACAGAGTTGAGATTCTATCATTCCTCCTATGTCTTGGAAAGAAGGGGAAAGCTTTCTGCTTAAATTCTGGAATCCTGCCTATCCTCTAAAACATGCTAACAAACTAGGGACAAAATTTTCAAGATATTTGAAATATCAAGTAAGTGGTCATTTTCAGTGAATCTGAATAGTTTAGATTCCATTTTTATACCTAGAAAATTCATGCTATACTTTTAGATGGCTTATATAAGCTTTTAGTTGACTTTAGAAGCAGTGGAAATAATACAGGCCCTGATGTAAGGTAGACTTCTTTCAGCTATGTGACAAATTCAAAATGTGACCGTGAGCATGTCGCATTACGTCTTTAGGCTACATTTTTCTTGTTTGTGAAGTTAGACAATTACTAGAATCTCTTCCAGCTCTAAAATTCTGTGAAAATATTTAAAGGTATTGGGTGGCCTTTAAAATGTATCGGTTGCTTTTCAAACATATAAGCTGAGAGCATATTACAAGTATGAGTAAGTAAAGAGAAAACCTCAGCTACTTTTTGAAAATTCAGACAGATTGGATTTTTTTGTGCTATTTAAGCCTGAACTGGGGTTATTGGAGCTGCATTACAAAGGATGTTTAGTACTCAGTAGAAACAGTGGCTCCTACTCTTCAGCTCAGCCTGAGTTTGTGGCTATGGATGTTTCTAGCCTTTTTTTAAATTTTCCCCAACAAGCCACAAGCCATTCAAAAGAGGTAGGATGAGACTGCTTTGAATAACAACCTTTTAGTACCCACTGATTTTTGGTCATGTCAGAGAGGCAAAGCCTGTGGCCTTTGGATTGAAAGAATACAGGTAGATATTTGGTCTGACAATCAAATAGAGTCATATATGCCTTTGGCCACTATTAATTCTAAGCTTTAAAATCAGTGCTGGTGAGAAGTGTCTGTTCACATTCTTTGCCCACCTTTTGATGGTGTTGTTTGTTTTTTTCTTGTAAATTTGTTTAAGTTGCTTGCAAATTCTGGATATTAGACCTTTGTCAGATAGGTAGATTGCAAAATTGTTCTCATATTGTGTAGATTACCTGTTCACTCTGATGATAGTTTCTTTTGCTGTGCAGAAGCTCTGTAGTTTAATTAGATCCCGTTTGTCAATTCTGGCTTTTGTTGCAATTGCTTTTGGCATGTTTTGTCATGAAGTCTTCGCCAATGTCTATATCCTGAATGGTATTTCCTAGGTTTTCTCCTACGGTTTTTATGGTTTGGGGTTTTACATTTAAGTCTTAAAAAAATAAAACACGTCGGGGGAGGGGGGAGGGATAGCATTATGAGATATGCCTAATGCTTAATGACGAGTTAATGGGTGCAGCACACCAACACGGCACATGTATACATATGTAACAAACCTGCATGTTGTGCACATGTACCCTAAAACTTAAAGTATAATAATAATAAAAAATAAATAAATAAAACATAAATAAATTACTTGCCCAGTCATAAGCCTAGTTGCACAGAGATATTCCCTGAACCTCATTCACCAGATCTCCCAAGACTTTTTTTATTATAGCATTATCAATACATAAATCAATTGATAACCTGAATAAGTAGCAAAGCAAGCAGAACAACAACAACAACAAAAAACCCAGTGCTGGTGAACATACTGTGAAGGCAGCAGAAACAATCCTGTCACAAAGTATTAATGCAAGTATATTGGGAGAACAGTGAATTCACAGTCAGAACTTAGAAGACTTTGGATTTAGTCCCAAGTCTGTCACTGATTCTCATTACAAACAATTATTTACCCATTCTGGGCTAAAATCTTCCTTTTTTCTCAAGAGAAGAATTGTGACAGATGAAGGCTAAGAGCCTTTCCATCCCTAATACTCCATGACTATTTGTAGGCAAAGTATGTTTGGTGTCCTTTTAATGGAGTCACAGATATTGTATCTTCATGAAATTACCTACCCAGTTCTGGGGCAGTTCACATGTAATTTGCACTTTCTTCCCCAGTAACAGCATTATGTTGATTGTACAAATGCCACAGAACACATACAAACTTGGTAATGCAAAAATAGAATTTGGGTAAGAAAAATGTAGTGTGTTGCATGAGAGAACTGTGTTGAAAGAGAAAGGCAAATAAAATATAAGAATGAGAAAAAGTGTCTCTCTTTCTTTGGGTATTTTTTAAAGTCAAGGGTTATCAATTTTTCCGTGATATGTAAATAAATTTTAAAACACTGTTTATTGTTACAATATATATGTATATTATTTCCAATGAATAGTTAACATTTAAACCTGAAAATAACTACCAAATGAATTATACAACTAAGCACTTAGAACAGCACCTAACACTTTTATAAACCCAATTATTGTTAATTTGTTTCCCCATATGTAAGGGTTTTTAAATGCTGTTTCTTAAGGTTCACCCAAAGCTGAAAAGCTTCAAACCTCTAAATCAAAGAACTTCTGAATTTGTAAACTTTGAGATATGTTCCTTGTCTTACCAGCTGGAGAAAACCTATTTTTCCTATAGTTTTAGTTAATAATTCTGTAAAAATCTATATGAAACAACAAATTATTTTCAGAAAATTTCACTTCATGTAGGAAATTAGTTAGAATTTTCATTAGGACCCAGAATACATTATGTGGGACTGATTTCATTCATACTGAAAGCAGAAAGGAAATGACAGGTGGACTCCCTCTACTTCTTTTAGTAGGGTGGTTACTTTCTAAAATGTGAAAGTGACTTGTTATTGCTTGGATATTGTATCTCGAAGACCTCAGGACCTGTGTCATTCAGTGAACTAAAAAAGTGATTCATATTTCTTAGGTACTTGCAAATAGAAATTTGATTCTTAGAAATTAAAGTTCAATTGTGTGGGAAGATGTTTAAGTTTCAAGAATGGATTTGAGTTGACTTCTATACCCTCCCAGCTAGCAAAATACCCCGTGAAGAGCCCGTGATCTCTCAGATAAGACCAGGCATTCATAGCTGAAACAAAAAAAAATAGTAGTTTGACTTTTATTTCATTTTGATCAGCAGAAAAATATAGCTACACATGCTTTGCTACAGCAAGTAAGAGGCTTCCTACATGTTTAATTTAAATAAACTGATTCATCTAGTCAACAGAATGGATTGTTCTATTCAAAAGTAAGTAGAAACCATGTAATCAAAAGTTACAGATTATATTTGTTTAATAACAAACCATAATTAATTTTGCCAGAAAGGTAGAAAGACCAACCTGGATATGTTTCAGACCAAATAATAACATCAATAGTGACAAAGACAATAGTAATAATGAGAGCTAACACTAGTGCAGGACTTATTATATGCCAGATACTGTTGTCACTAAGGAATTTATCTGTATTAATTTATTTAATCCTTACAATAACCTTAAAAATAGGTTCCACTATTATTTTTATCATTGTTTCTACTGTCAAACAAAATTTAATTTGGGAAGTTTCATGAGACCCTAGTTCTACCATTGCCTCTAATTTTGGAAGGGTGGGCTTAAATCCAGTTATGGTTTTACAGTTCTTTACTTAGAGAAAAAAAAAATTAACTTCCTCTAGCATAGGGCACTTTCTCCCTACAGATAATACAATAAAAGCTTTTTTTAGTATGTCACTGTCCAACTATCTTTCTTTATTGCCTTTTTCATTCATATCTTACTTATCAAATGAATATTTTTGTAAAAGTCTTTCAGAAGCAGTTACATTGCGTTTTCTCTTGAGAATTCATTACATGTGCTTATCCCCAAAGTCTCTTCCCTTAAGTCAAATTGTTCTTCTTCCCCATTTCCCCTGTGGGCTCTTTCCAACTACAACAATGAAAGTGTCACTCTTGGACTCTCCCTAAATTCATCTGTAATCATTTTTTCACTTACTGTAAGTTCTCATGGATACATAATAGTTATTCAGCTACTGCTCGGTTGCAATAGCTCAACTACTTATATGGAGCTCCCAGGATGGTACGGTTTGAATGTGTCCCCTCCAAAATTTAGGTGTTGCCAATGTCATAGCATTGGTGTGGTGTTTGGCAGGGGATTAGGCCATGAGGCCTCTTTCCTCATGAGTGGGATTAAGGTCCTTATGAAAGAGGCTTCATGGGGAGTTGGCTCGTTTGCCTTCTGCCTTCCTCCAGGTGAGGACACAGCATCCCTCCCCACTGTGGGACGCAGCAATGCGACTGAGAGCAGCGCTATCCAAACAACCAAATCTGCTGATGCCTTGATCTTGGACCTCTCAGCTCCAGAACTGTGAGAAAATTGATTTCTGTTCTTTCTAAATTACCCAGTCTTGAATATTTTGTTACAACAGCATAAATGGACCAAGATAAAGGAAGATGAACTATTTGGATGAGCAAGACAAAAATAACAATACATCCTTGCCAGAGCCGTGTTGTTCTCCCCAGTCACGTCATTCTTCAGGCCACCTCAATTACACGACAGAATATTGAATATAATCTCTTTATCTTACAAATAAGAAACCGAGGCACAGCGATGTTATGTGAAAAACAGAAGGCCACCTGATAACCAATAGAAGAAATAAGACTTGAATCCAGGACATTCTTAGACTCAGAGGATTTTTCCATTATTTATTTATTTACACAGCACAAAAATATCAAACACTTTTTATATGCCACTTACTCTGGTGTTGCAGAACTTTTCCTCAAGTGTCGCATCATTGCGGTTTAGTGGAAACTCTATCAGCATCAAGAGCCCAGGGATCTTAGACTCTTGCTGACACTAAATAATTTTGCAACTTGGAAAAAATTTACCTCACTTTCTCAGATGTAAAATCTAAAATAATTGTACCAGAAAGACACATGCATGCGTATGTTTATCGCAGCACTATTCACAATAGCAAAGACATGGCATCAACCTAAATGCTCATCAATAGTGGACTGGATAAAGAAAATGTGGTAGATATGTACCATGGAATACAATGCAGTCATAAAAAAAGAATGAGGTCACATCCTTTGCAGTAACATGGATAGATCTAGAGGCCATTATCCTAAGTGAACTAACATAGGAACAGAACACCAAATACTGAATGTTCTTACTTATAAGCGGGAGCTAAACACTGAGTACCCATGGACACAAAGAAGGGAACATTAGACATTGGGGTCTACTTGCGGGTGGAGGGAGGGAAGAGGGTGAGGATCGAAATCTACCTACTATGCTGATTACCTGAGTGACAAAATAATCTGTACACCAAAGCCCTGTAACACACAATTTACCTATATAACAAACCTGCACATGTACCCACGAATCTAAAATAAAAGTAAAAAAAAAATAAAAATAAACTCTAAAAAGTAGGAATTTTGGAGTGAGATCATTCTTATTATACCTACAGATACAGAGTTAATAAGGGTATATACTACAGCTTTTATAAAAGAAGGGAAGCAGAATGCATAGTCTTAGGTCTGTGCTTTACTACTTTATCAGTTAGCTATTATTCCCTGCTGCTAGAGACATTACTGCTTCCCTGAAATAGATACAAACAAAATTGTCATATATAAAATTGTATTTCATATATGTGTATAATAAACATAATATATTTTAGGTAATGTATGCGTAATGTATAGATACATAAACATTAATGTCATTTATAATATATAAATGACATTTGATATTATATATGTAAAATATTTTCTAGTTTAACTGTAACTTAATTATTTCCACAGCAGTGTAACATCTTGCTTTCCATTTCCGTAAAGGCTTTTCCCATATGTATTCTATATTATGGTTGGTGCCATAATATTGCTTATTTCCTGAGAATACCATATTTTCTCCTTGCTCACATTATAAGTAATTATTTTTTCTTGAAATTTAATTTTCAACTACTTTTAGCTTTTGTGTTTTGATTTACAAATCATTATTTTCAACATGTAAAACAATCCATGTTTACATGCTTATACATAAGACAACTGTCTAATGCCTACTCTCTGGGAATAAATATTGTAGCTACACTGAATTTAATTCTAGTCATATTTTTCTTTTTTTTTTTTTTTTTGAGATGGGGTCTTGCTCTGTCGCCCAGGCTGGAGTGCAGTGGCATGATCTCAGCTCACTGCAAGCTCCGCCTCCCGGATTCAAGCAATTCTCCTGCCTCAGCCTCCTGAGTAGCTGGGATTATAGGCATGCACCACCATGCCCAGCTAATTTTTGTATTTTTAGTAGAGACGGGGTTTCACCATGTTGGTCAGGCTGGTCTCAAACTCCTGACCTCATGATCCTCCCGCCTCGACCTCCCAAAGTGTTGGGATTATAGGCATAAGCCACCGCGCCCGGCCTAGTCATATTTTTCACTGTATGTGTGTGTGGCAGGGGGAATGGGGATTGTTCCTATGCATATAAATATAAATTTGTTCCCCTTTACCTCCCTTTTTCCCAAAATATGATTCATGCTTTGTATTTAGTTTTGCATGATACTCTTCTCCCCACCTCGACTTTTTATGAGCATTTTCTCATGACATCAAATATTCTTCAAATAATCTTAATTGCTGCCTAAAATCCAATTGCAAGAAAGTCTTATGAATTAATTGTCTTTCCGTTTTTGTGTGCTATTTGGTTGTCTCTTGTTCTTATTAATATAAATAATCCTGTGATAAAGACCCTGGCACATAATCTTCGACTACTTGTCAGATTCTTTCCTTAAGCTGAATTCCTAGAATGGGAATCACTGCATTCAAAAATGAGTCTTTTTCAGTTGTTTTGTCTTCTTTAATAGATGAATCATTTCGTCAGTGAACAAAGTAATGTATTCCATATACAGAATTCAAAGCTTCACATTGTTAAATTTAAAAAAAAAAGCTTTTATGTGCCACCCTTCACTAGATTTTATCTTAATACAATAAAATTTCTTGCATGCCCTGCCGGATTCCCCATAGTCTGATTCCTACCCATCTCTCTAGCTCAGTTTCACCCCCTGACCTGGTCTCCATGATTTCTCAAGCCCAGGTACACTGGCCTGATTTTTGTACCTGCACCTGTTCCCTCTAGTTACCTTTCTTCTCCAGCTATCTGTCTTCACAACCCAGTGGGTGCAACTACCTTTCAAAAGAGTTGGAGCTTCTATTAACCCATTTGTGTTGAAACATGTGTCAAAGAGAAGTTGGAACATTTCTCTTCCTAAGACAAATTATGAGGTGCCTATCTTCCAAAATATTTTCTCAGAGGTCAGTTTTTTTCTTCACTGAAGAGTGAAGCTTATCTCAGCACATTTTTGTATTCATGTAATATCCAGGGTTTATAAGTTATATGGGAATTATCCTAGGTCTATATCATCTCTCTCCCCCTTCCATTCTCCACTCTCTCTGCCTGTCCCACTCAGATTTCAGTCCAAACCCTGGAGTGACAGATTTATGGCAATTCATCTATCTGTAGCATTTTATACAAATAATAAAGAGTATCAGTTAGGTTGTGCTTAGCTGCTGGTAACAGAACTTCTTGCTTACGTGGCTACAGCATATCAGTTCCCATAACAGGAAGCTTGTGTGTCAGTTCCGTACCCATAGCTCAAAGAGCCAGGTTCTTTTCATCTTTTTTCTCTGCTAACCACAGCGGGTTGGCTCCTGTCCTTGCGCAGGTAGCCTCATGGTGGCAAACTGGCTGCAGCAGTTCAAAGGGTCATGCCCTCACACATGATGTCCAGAAACACAAGGAGCTATTTCTTCCTTGAGTCTTTTAATTTTTTAAGAACCAGAAATCATTTCTTACCAGGTCTCCTCAAATATATAATTGTCCAGAATTGGATCATCTGCTTCTACTAAACCAATACCTGTAAGTGAAACGGGTCACATAAAATATAACTGGCCCTAAAAACCAGTCATGATTCATCTTTGAAGCTGTGGGGGTCTCCGACTTCACTGAAACACATAGTGTTTCTGTTAGAAAATTTTAAAAAGTTTGAGACCAGCCTGGCCAACATGGTGAAACCCCATCTCTACTAAAAATACAAAAATTAGCCAGGCATGGTGCCACATGCCTGTAATCCCCGCTACTCGGAGGCTGAGGCAGGATAATCGCTTGAACCTGGGAGGTGGAGGTTGCACTGAGCTGATATCACGCCACTGCACTCCAGCCTGGATGACAGATTGAGACTCCGTCTCAAAAAAATAAAAAAATAAAAAAAACAATATCTGGAAATTATATAATATGATAATAAAAGTTGATGAAAGTTGATTGGAAGAAAATGAGAAACTGGTGAATTTGGGATTTTATGAGATGTGAATAAGTTTTATGGAGCAACATTTACTCATTCTTTTTCTCTCATTCAAACATTTACTGAACTCTTCTGTTTCTTCTGATTCATGAACAATTAATATTAAAAAGTTTCCAAAACACAGCTGTATATTCTATTTGCCTTGGGGCTATAAGTCATGCAGAAGAGATAAGCAGGTTTTCCATTAAAAGCATAGGTTATTTTCAAAGGGATACTGAAAACCAATGCAATTCCTGGAAAGGTGTGGACCAAATATGACTAACAGAGTTGTAATTATTTTTTGTTGGCCTGCTAACTATTCATGGTATTTCAGAGATTAAAAGAGAAAAGATTAGCTATGTTGTATTTCTTCCGTTATTTATGGGTGCATAGAACAGTAAAAAAAAAAAAAAAAAAAAAAAAAAACCACACAAAAACAAAAAACGTGATTAAAAGCATTGTAGTCTATGTTAACTCTTGGTTCTATTTAAATGACAGTTTCAGATCATAGAACAATTTTTTTCAAAGCCACAAAGGCTTTCATTTAAATGTAACAGGAAGGCCCATATTTAAAAAAAAAAAAAAGTCTTTTTTTCTCCAGGTAACAAATACATAAGAGGATATAACACAATGACAACAATGACAATGCTTAGTTAAGTAAATACCATGAAGCTTAATCCTCCTTTAAAGTTTAGATTACAGACCTACTCAGGAAGGAACAGTCAACAAACTGGCTGGATAAAGCAAACTTGCATTAAAATAAATGAGTATCTGACAAAACACAGTTACTGCATAATGGGCAATCAGTGTAGTGCAAATCTTTCCAAATTGCCAGGAAATAGACCATAAGCCATCTTATTTTAAGTGAAATTCCTCCCTTGGAAAGCATCAGGTGATTCAGGCAGCCCTAAATTATTCGAGATTTCACTCGCAGTGTAGGAACTCTGTGGGCAAGTTAGCCTTAGAGAGAGCCCACGGGCAGCAGAGGGCAGCTAGGCCAGGCACCCTTGCTGTCAACACCTAGCCAAAGTTGTCCAGATACAAAACCTCTCTATACGAAATTTATGTTTGTTTTCTATTCATATAGGAAGTCAAACTTTAATCCTCTGAATACACCTCCATTTGATAATCCCCTTATTCCCCACCTTTTGGTAGTCCCTTTACAAATATATATGGTTACAAAAGGTTATCAGTGTTTAAACTAGCAAACACTTCTCTAATATAGAATATATTTTATGTTTCCTTGAAGATTGTTTTCCAGACATTTTAGTAGTTTTTTAAAAATTAGAACTTAAAGGATTGATTTCCTGGGTCAGTCTGTTATAGTGGAAAAAAACTAATTTTGGAGTCAAATCTCTGCTCATCTCCCATGTACTGTTCTATCACTTTCTAGCCATGTAACCTAGGCCAACTTATTTTACCTCCCTGAGCTTTCATCTTTAAATTGGAGGTGGGGAGACCTCCTTCACAGGGGGCATTATGAAGATGAACAGAGTTAATGTATATTTTTGAGCATTTGGTCCACAGAGTAAACATTAACCTTTTCCTGCCTTTTTATTAGAGTTGCCCCCATATTTAAATAATGGTAAAATACAGCAATTTGTTTTCCAGGCCACCCCCTTTCTAGGCACCACCTTTGTCTCCCAGGAGAAACTTCCCGAGCCTCATCGCTCCATCTCAAATAATTGCCACCATTCCCATTCCCATGCCACCATGTCCCTGGCTCTCCCACATCCTCATTAAAAGGTACTAATCTAGCCTTTCACTAGAGTCTGGAGATAAAATACTGGATATGCTGCACAGTCACATTCATGCCACATGTGTATTAAACTTGGAATCATTTAAATGAACAGGCTTTATAAGAAGAAAGAGGAGAAAGAAAAAAGACAACAAAATATGTTCAGTAGTGTAAATGTTGTCATCATTTCACTGCTCAAGTATCATGGAAGGAGAAAGAAGGATTCAGGAGAAGTTACTTGTTTTGTTTTGTCTTGTTTTGAGACAGAGTCTCGCTATGTCACCCAGGCCAGAGTGCAGTGGAGCAATCTTAGCTCACTGCAACATCTGCCTCCCCGGTTCAAGCAATTCTCCTGCCTCAGCCTCCCAAGTAGCTGGGATTACAGGAGCGTGCAACCACACTCGGCTAATTTTTGTATTTTTAGTAAAGATGGAGTTACGCCACGTTGGCTAGGCTGGTTTCGAACTCCTGGCCTCATGTGATCCACCTGCCCTGGCCTCCCAAAGTGCTGGGATTGCAGGAGGGAGCCACCGCGCCAAGCCCAGAAGAAGCGATTGTGGGTAAAGTCATGACTACTGTCCTTGAAGTGGTCCTCAAGAGTCAGTTTGACCATGGCTCATTTTTCCTCTATTTTATTTATTTTATTTTATTTTATTTTATTTTACTTTACTTTACTTTACTTTTTACTTTACTTTACTCTACTCTACTCTACTCTACTCTACTCTACTCTACTCTACTCTACTCTACTCTACTTTACTTTATTTTATTTTATTTTTTGAGACGGAGTCTCACACTGTCGACCGGGCTGGAGTGCAATGGCATGATCTCGGCTCACTGCAACCTTGCCTTGCAGGTTCAAGAGATTCTCCTGCCTCAGCCTACCGAGTAGCTGGGATTACAGGCGCTCGCCACCACGTCCGGCTAATTTTTTGTACTTTTAGTAGAGACGTGGTTTCACTATGTTGGCCAGGCTGGTCTCGAACTCCTGACCTCGTGATCTGCCCGCCTCGGCCTCCAAAAGTGCTGGGATTACAGGCGCGAGCCACTGTGCCCGACCACGGCTAATTTTTGGCTAATTTTTTTCTGTAAGTATTCTGTCTCCTACAACAGGCTTATTACCTCCTTGTCCCACAAAGCCCACCTGTGTGGTTTAAAGCTTGGATCTGATTCAGATTGCATTGTCCTGTCACTTTTCAGCTGTGGGGCATTAGGTGACTTAATTTCTCTGTGCCAGTTTTTAATTTGCAAATTAAGAATAACAATAGCAAACAACTAATGGGATTATCATAATGATTGAAATATCCATGTAAAATGCTTTTCATAGTTTCTGGAATGTAGCAAGCATTCGCTAAAATTATTATGAGGTAGGAATGACAAATTTGCTGACCACAGTGACTGGGAAGGGGTAGCTGAGCCCTGCTGGGTCTGTCAGAATTCTTCTCTTAAGCTATTTCAAACTACAGCTGGGAGAAAGAGACTTCTTTTTCTTCTGCTCATAAAGATTTAAAGATTTGAGTTTACAGTTCCTGGACCCACCACTTATTTGAGAGAATGTTGTTAACACAAGGATAGAAAAACAAGCATCTTCCTTCAACTCAGAGGTCTATAGCAGTACACTTCCAATAAAACGCGTTTTTGCTTAAGCTAGAGTTGTATTTCTCTTCTCTACAAAGAGTATAATCCTTTCTAATGTGTGCATTTTGAGGAATAAGGCACATGGACTGCACTTTACCTGCACAGGTCTCCAGGTATTTGAATGTATCTATTTTTCAGGTAAACTGGGTGTGCAAATAGCATCTGCTTTAAAGTTAATATGGAACCTTGAAATAGTCATTAGTTGGCAATTTAGTGTCCAATTCATATCACTGATATTATTAGAAGTCAGTATTTAGTAACATTTTCAAAACCATATTAAAATCGAATTTAGGCCGGACACAGTGGCTCACGCCTGTAATCTCAGAGCTTTGGGAGGCTGAGGTTGGCAGATCACCTAAATCAGAAGTTCAAGAC